>NC_000008.11:18647981-18951011 GCF_000001405.40 Homo sapiens
GCCAGCACCACGCTTCCTGTGTAGCCTGCAGAACCATCAGCCAATTAAACTTCTTTTTATATAAATTACCCAGTCTCAGGTATCCTTTATGGCAGTGCCAGAATAAACGAATTCAGAAAAATGGGTCCCAAGAAGTGGGGAATTGCTATAAAAAATACCTGAAAATGTAGCAGCAACTTTGGGAACTGGGTAATGGGCAGAGGTTGGAAGAGTGTGGATGGCTCAGAAGATGACAGGAAGATGAGGGAAAGTTTGAGACTTCCTAGAGGCTTCTTAAATTGTTGTGACCAAAATGCTGATAGTGATACGGACAATAAAGTCCAGGCTGTGGAGGTATCAGATGGCAATGAGGAACTTATTGGGAACTAAAGCAAAGGTTATGTTTGTTATGCGGAAGCAAAGAACTTGGAGGCACTGTGCCCCTGCCCTAGGGATCTGTGGAATTTTGAACTTGAGAGTGATGATTTAGGGTATCTGGCAGAAGAAATTTCTAAGCAGCAAAGCATTAAAGAAGTAACCTGGCTGCTTCTAACAACCTATGCTTATATGTGCGAGCAAATAAATGACATAAAACTGGAACTTATATCTAAAAGTTTGGAAAATTTGCAGCCTGGCCATGTGAAAATTTGCAGCAGGCTGAAGAAATTTGCTTTACTAAAAGGCAGGCAAGTGCTGATAGCAAGAAAATGGGGAAAATGCCTCAAAGGCATTTCAGAGACCTTTGCAGCAGCCCCTCCTATCACAGGCCTGGAGGCTTAGGAGAGAAGAATGGTTTCATAGGCCAGTCCCCGGGAAGTTTCACTGCCCTATACTGCTCCCTGCATCCCAGCCACTCTAGCTACAGCTGTGGCTAAAAGGGCCAAGGTACAGCTCAAGCTGTCACTCCAGAGAGTGTAAGCCATAAGCCTTGGTGGCTTCCACATGGCGTTAAGCCTATGGGTATGCAGAATGCAAGAGTTAAGGCTTCGGAGCCTTTGCCTAGATGTCAGAGAATGTATGGAAAAGCCTGGATATCCAGGCAGACATCTGCGGCAGGGGTGGAACCCTCTTGGAGAACCTTTACTAGGGGAGTGCAGAAGAGAAATGTGGGGTTGGTGCCCCAACAAAGAGTCCCCAATGGGTCACTGCTTAGTGGAGCTGTGAGAAGAGGGCTACCATCCTCCAAACCCCAGAATGGTAGAGCCCCCAGCAGTTTGCACCCTGCACCTGGAAAAGCCATAGGCACTCAACGCCAGCCCATGAGAGCAACCGCAGGGACTGAACTCTGGAAAAGCCACAGGGGCAGAGCTGCCCAAGGCCTTGGGAGCCCACTCCTCACACCAGTGTGCCCTGAATATAAGAAATGGAGTCAAAGCAGGTTATTATTGGAGCTTTAAGATTTAATGACTGTCCTGCCGGGGTTTCGGACTTGCACAGTGCCTGTAGCCCCTTTCTTTTGGCTGCTTTCTTCCTTTTGGAATAGGAGTATTTAGCCAATGCCTGTACCCCCATTGTATCTTGGGAGCAACTAATTTGTTTTTAATTTTACAGGCTCATAGGCACAAGGGACTAGGCTTGTCTCAGATAAGAGTGAGTTAAGGCTGAAATGAGTTAAGACTTTGAGGGACTGTTGGGAAGGCATGACTGTATTTTGCAATGTGAGAAGGACATGAGATTTTAGAGGCGCCAGGGATGGAATGATATGGTTTGGATCTGTGCTCCCACACAAATCTAATGTTGAATTGTAATCCCCACTGTTGGAGGTGGGATCTGGCGGTAAGTGATTGGATCATGGGGGAAGATTTCCCCCTTTGGTGCTGTTCTCATGGTAGTGAGTAAGTTATTGTGAGATCTGGTTGTTTAAAAGTGTGGCACTTCCACCCCACCCTGCTCTGGCCATGTGAAGTGCTGACTCCCTCTTTGCCTCCTGTCATGACTGAAAGTTTCCTGAGGCTTCCCCAGAAGCTGAGCAGATGCTAGCATCATACTTCCTGTACGGCCTGAAGACTGTGAGCCAATTAAACCTCTTTTGTTTACAAATTACCCAGTCTTAAGTATTGCTTTGTAGCAGTGCAAGAACAGACTAAAACAGGGAGATTTCTTACAATTTGTAAACACTGTTGTAGAAAGCAGCAATAAACATGAAAGTCAAAGGATGAAAGAGAGGAACATTAATTTTCCTAATAGACAATACTGAACTTATTTTATTTTCCTATTTGTGTTAATCGTTGTATTTTCTGAAGATCCTCATGCAGATACATTTTAAACAATTCCAACATAAGATATAAACTCCCATATCCACCTCAACTCACCTCATCCTACGCCATCCCAATCACAAAGAGTAATTACTCACTTTGTTTATCACTTAGACTGGAAATTTTTTAAAGCCAAGAAAAATGCCTCAATGCCTTATATAGTTTTGTTCTCCCCAAATTATCAGCAGGCTGCATGATGCAAGTAGGTCAACAAATAGATGCTTCACTAATAATGAACAATTGAGCAAAGGAACTTGGAAAGGCAAATGGTCATGGTCCTATATGACGTAGCAGAGACCTTCCACAAGTCAATTTGACTCACTGCACTCTTCATTACAGTTTTTGTATTTTTATCTTTGTACAGTCCTCCCTCTCCCCTAAATCTCATGTTGTGTTCTCATTAGGCAAGGATCTGTGTCTTATTCATATTTGTATCTAGGGCACAGCACTGGGCCAGGCACAGGAGAAGCTGGATAGAGATTGCAGAATAGATGAATAAATAAATGATCCTTGCTACTAACTTAAGGAAAAACTCTAGTAATTCTATGAGCATTTAATGAGACTAGCAAATTAATACAACATTCTCTTAATGTGCACTGTATCAAAGGCTAGCACAGAAACATTCAGACTCACTCTCTGCTCTTCAAAGACTTTATAAGACGGGGTGGCTACAGAGATGCCAGGCAGCATGGTGGTGCCATAGGAGGCCATAACAGCTGGGGAAAATCCTGGCCTTCCCACCATACTGGACTTGGACCTATTGATGAACACTTCTTGACTTAATTTTCCTCATATATAAAGTAACAACAATGGACTACGTAAGTACCTTTCAAAAAATTTTTCAAGAACATATACCTTAAAAATATGAAATAGAACCCTATACATATATTCAAAAGAGATAAAAGTGGAGCTGTTTTGATCAGCTGAACTAGGCATAATACTTAAGGAAGCAGAACTGGGTCCCCAACAATTTTCAGTCACACTCCCAGGTAAGGCCCCAAGGCATCTCCCTGTAACCCAAGGTTACACTGAACCCAGTCAGAAAACCAATGATATAAAAACCTATAAGGTTTATAACAGTTATAACATTCTCCGGTTCTAACACTCAATAATTCTATCGTGATTTCCTCTAAGGTTCTAACATCCACATCAAGATGCCTCCTGCGCAAGTCTTCCATGCATTATCCTACAAACTTTGTAGCATCACCACCTTTCCTGTAACTATTTTCTAAACTACACATTGTAGGCTTATCTTTTAAGAAATGTGGTTCCTTCATTACCATTAACATCCTTTCTATAGCCTTTTATGGAGCCTTCATTACATATAAACACTATGATCAGCAACAGAGGAGATAAAGGGACAAATCCAGACATGTATCATTTCCTTAAAGAGCTTACAATCTAATGGCACATTACTACAAATAACCATAATGGGGTGTAGAAACTGCTGGTGTCATCAGATAAAGTAAAATGGAAGCTTAAGGCTGAGATCATACTTCTGGTTAGCAAGATCAGAAAAAACTTCAAGAAAACAGATGGAATAGGAGCTGGACTGTGAAGGATGATAGGCTTTGAACATAAAATGATTATGGGATACAGGTTCCTAGCAGAGGTGACTTCACGAACACTGAATGGAGAACAAAATCAATTATTGGCAGAACGTGAAGGGCCTAATTAAAGTTTTACAGCACATAGGAACTTCACAGAGGTTAAAGTACAGGGAAGATTGGAGACAGAAGGCCTTGTTGAGGAGGCAAACACTATAAATGCCTGAAAAACAAAAGAATGGCAGGAGTGAAGAGGAAAGATGCTGTTTGGAGCCATTTCTGCAGGGGTTCGAAGTGGTGGTGTGGGAGGGTGTCAAAGATGATGTAAAGGCTAAAATCCAGGTAAGCCGGAAACGCTGGTGTCATTAATAGAAATGGAGCACACACGACAAGTTTGGAGACAGACGATGAGCGCTAAGTGCCAGCAGAAACATCCTGCAGGAAAATGCAAACACTGAATTGAAACTTGGGAAAGAGGTCAGAGCTGTATATATATATAGGAAGAATTTTTACAGAAATGGCAGAAGAAGTTTTAAGAGTGAATTGCAATTGCTGAGGAGGAGACTACATTGGAAGAAGACAATTCAAAGTGTCCATCTAACGCTAAGGGATAATATGAGGAAAATGGGTCAGAGAAAGTCTAGTTAGAGAGGTATGGGAGAAACGGGAGAGCACAGTGTTATAAATAATTATATCCATGTACATACACTTTTATCAAGGAAAAAGCTTAGTTTTTTTTTTTTTTTTTTTTTTGAGACCAAGTCTCACTCTGTCACCCAGGCTGGGGTATAGTGGCACAATCTCAGCTCACTGCAACCTCTGTTTCTTGGGTTCAAGCAATTCTCCCGCCTCAGCCTCCTGAGTAGCTGGGATTACAAGTGCACGCCACCACGCCCAGCTAATTTTTGTATTTTTAGTAGAGATGAGGTTTCACCATGTTGGCCAGGCTGGTCTCGAACTCCTGACCTCAAGTGATCCAGGCTCCTCAGCCTCCCAAAGTGTTGGGATTACAGGTGTCAGCGACCGTGCCCAGCTGCTTAGCTCCTTTGCTAAAGGATCACATACACTGATAGATGTCAGTGTTCTCAGAAGTGTGTTCTAAATAAAAAGCACCAGTTTTAGTAGATGTTAAAAGGTGCTTTAAGACAAAAATAAGATTCAGTGATTTAATAAATTGGGGTATTGGCCATTTATTTCCTACAGAAATTCAAGATGTACATCAGGTTTTTAAATTCAAATTTCTCCTGCAGAAATTCAAGATGTACGTTGATTGAACAGGATGATAACAGAGAGATCTGTTTAATTTTGTTTGAGCTAGCATTCATTCCAAGACTTAGTTGACCCATAATCCCTTTGTTTTATATCTGCTTGATAGAGCAGTACTTCTTCCACAGGAGGAAACACTGAAATATGGCAAAACTCAGAAATTTACAGAATATTAGAACTAGAAAAAATACTTGTGATCATTTCATCCAATTCCTTCATTTTATAGGTGAAGATAGAAATTATACGATAACCACTATAGTGTCTTCTTCTAATTCTTGACAATGTATAAAAATGTAGTCTATGTATATGCATATGAACAAGAGAGAAAAAGAAAAAAAGACAAAAAAAAAAAGAAATTGGAGCTTTGAAAGCTACAGCATCAGGCATCAATTGAAGAGCAACTTGCTTTATGTTCAGTGTTTTCAAACATTTCAGTGTCATCCTGAAGGTTACATGAGACTCAATATTTGCTCAGTCTTGCAAAAGAGGAAACTGAGGACTACAGGTTAACTTGGTCAGTGAACCAGCTACTACATGAAAAAGCTGTAATTCACACCAAAATTTATCTGACTCTGAAATCCAGGCTTCTGAACAAGATGCTCTGCTAACTTCACAAGAAGAAACCAGTTACTGGGTAAACTCCCGCCCCTCCACCCTTGGGTAACACGCAAGATATAGCTTTCTTGCATCAAACTCCGACTACCTATAAATGAATAAATAAAATCTGCTGTAACAAATTAAAAAAAAAAACCTAGATTTACAAAACAGGTCCTCAAGAGTATATGTATTTGTTTTTTAAAATAACTTCATAAAAGAATCTTCAATGTATTCTCTTGCCCAGAGTGAATATGATGATGCCATTTTTATTTATTTTCTCTAGACTACATATTCTGCATATGTCAGGATGTCCTTTTTGCATTTCAGCAAGATTCTGACTATATCCTTCACAAAATTTTCCTATGAAACCCACTTTTGTTCATGAGAAATAAGCCTAAAGAAGAATGATCACCTTTGATAGCAGACCATGAATTCTTAATGATCAGTTTTCCTTGAAATGGCACGCTGCCTTTAAATGAGTCTCATCATGAATATACATACAGACACATAAGCCATATATATATATATGCAAATATTAAAGTCTTAACTTTTGACTCCCTAACTTGCAATAGGACCATGACTCTACAGTGAGTAGACGCAATTCAAGTGGTGCTGATACTTCAAAAATAAATTCCTGCACATTATATGTAATACACAGTCAACTATTAACCCATGTTCCTCCAACGTGCAGATAACATAACAAGTTTTATCTCCCAAGTTATGATTCTGTAAACCCGAGTTCATTGTAGAATGCTCTGTTAGGTCACGTGGTAAAACAATACTTATGAATACTTAGTAAAAATAAAAAATAAAATCCACGAAGTTCTAATTACAAAGAACACATTTTGACCTAATTTCCTGGTAATGTGATTAAAAATTTCATATTCTTCCATAATAATTTTATAAAAATTAAAATTTTGAACTGCTATATTGATTAGGGAAATTTTAACAACAGTGGTATTGTTCTACGTAGACCTAGGTGTAGCTCATCTTTAATAGTATTTCTCAAAGTATGTACCCTGAAACACTATATGTCACTGTCAAAGAGAGTCAGGAAACATTACACATTCTATTCCTCTCTTGGGGACTGATAACACACATTGGCATTGGATAAGCTCCTAGAAGTTCTGAAGTTTAAATAAAATAGCTTTATTCAATCCATCATCTCCCAAGCTTATTCCATTCAGAGAACCTTTTTTTGGTTGCTGTTGTTGTTTTGTGCTTAGTATCTATCAGTGTCCTAGTATGATTAGTATCATAGGAAATAAACCTGGAAAGCCATGATCTATGATGATAGGAAGGAGATAATTAAAATAAGTGGATGATACCAAAACCATTTGTATTACATTTTGCAATACACACTATTCATCAGCAGATTTTTCTTTTAGAATGTTACTTTTTAAAAGATAAATTTAAGGCCGGGCGTGGTCGCTCACTCCTGTAATCCCAGAACTTTGGGAGGCCGAGGCAGGTGGATCACGAGGTCAGGAGATCGAGACCATCCTGGCTAACACTGTGAAACCCCGTCTCTACTAAAAATGCAAAAAAAAAAAATTAGCTGGGAGTGGTGGTGGGCGCCTGTAGTCCCAGCTACTCGGGAGGCTGAGGCAGGAGAATGGCGTGAACCCGGGAGGCGGAGCTTGCAGTGAGCCGAGATTGCGCCACTGCACTCCAGCCTGGGCGACAAAGCCAGACTCCACCTCAAAAAAAAAAAAAAAAAAATTAAAAGACAATTAATTACCTACAGGTACAGCAACCATTTTAAAAGCAGAATAGGAACACACTGAGTACCAAAAAACCACAGGATACTCTGGGTTTACTTGTATAAAACCGAAATAGGTTTTACTTGTATCTGGGTTTACTTGTATAAAGCCACAAAGTAGGTAAGACACTTGGTGTAAAATGAGAATTGGCAATGCATATTTAATCCTTCTCTAAGATCACTTCCAAGGCATAAAGACAGTAGGAAAAAAGTGAGTAGTTCATTATTAAAAGGCTGACGTCCAGCACACTTACACTGCCCATTCAAGCTTCTCATTCTTGATTGAGTTGTACAGAGCCTGTAAAGAGAGAAAATGAGATCACATTATTCTTTCCATTCTGTTCCACATTTTGAATTCAGCAAATGACCAAGTAATTCCTTCATAAAAGGATAGGCACGAAGCCCCCCTTGTCAGTCACCTTGCTTTTAGAAAGGTGAAGAATACATGGGGAGGCAAATGAGCATTGGGTGAACAACGAACGTTTCATGAAACAAAGAAACTTTCACAAAGTTATAACTGTCTTTTATCAATAAGGCACAGTACTGTACTACATTTCATTATAGTAAAATATTAGGATGTGATTAAAATTACACTGTGCATGCTATTTCTCATATTGAAAATATGGTCTTGTAGTTTCACTCAGTTGGACAGTGGAGTACTCATACTTTTTTCTTTTCTTCTTTTTTTCAGACGGAGTCTCACTCCATTGCCCAGGCTGGAGTGCAACGGCACAATCTTGGCTCACTGCAACCTCTGCCTCCTGGGTTCAAGTGATTCTCTTGCTTCAGCCTCCCGAGTAGCTGGGATTACAGGCGTGTGCCACCACACCTGGCTAATTTTTGTATTTTTAGTAGAGACGGGGTTTCACCATGTTGGCCAGACTGGTCTTGAACTCCTGATCTCAGGTGATCCACCTGCCTCAGCCTCCCAAAGTGCTGGGATTAGAGGCATGAGCCACTGTGTCTGGCTGCTTTTTTTTTTTCGTTAATGAAAGAAATAGAATTGTTTTCATGGCAAATTAAAGAGTAAGATACTTGGTAGGGGGACTGAAGCCAGACATGGAAAAGCATCTTAGGATAGTTTTAGAGTTTCGATACCACTGACTTAATCCAGTTTTTATTATAAATGTAACATCCCAATTCTGCCTTACAGTTAAGTATTACATTTTGGGTGTGTGTGGTTGTGGCAGATTGGATAAAAAACTTCTTTAGACCCTTGGTAACAATAATGGTAAAGTCAGCACAAGACTGCTACCCTGATTCTCCCAGCTCTAGCATTACAAAGGTCCTTGTAGTCAGCTTGTTCCACTATACCAACTACCGAGAAACATTTTTTTAAGACACAGGGTCTTGCTGTGTTTCCCAGGCTGCAGTGCAGCGACTATTCATGACCATGATAATAGTGCACAACAGCCTCAAACTCCAGGGCTCAAGTGATTCTCCTGCCTCAGCTTCCTGAACAGCTGGGACTACAGGCATATGCCACAGTGTCTGGCTTTACCTTTGAATTTTAAGTAAGATGTTATAAGGAACACACAAATGCATTTCTAAGGTACAAAACCACAAGAGCAAATTATATTTAACAAAAGAACGGTATGCATAACAATATTATGATGATGTTGGAACATTTTTCCTCAAAGAATGACTTGGATCAATTAGAACTTGAAGGCTTAGCCAAGACTTCATTTACTCTGAGATAGAAAAAAGGGGGATCACATGTCATCTAACCTCTTGTCTTTCAAACAAGAAAAGGCAGGTTCAGAAAGTTGTCCAAGCAGCACAGCAGAGCAGAACTGCCTTGTATTTCTATCCTTTCGCCCTTAACATTGTCTCATTCAAGTGTTTACATGTGTGTAAGCAAACAATGCACACCAATAGTAAATTCACTTTTCAGCAAAATACTTCCAAATTCAGTACAAATTTATTTAAGTTGTAGAATTTATATTATTTACGACTCAATACGTGTATTCTTAGCCAGTATCTTGACAAACTTCATGAAAGTTCTCAATTGTGGCTTCATAGTCAATTCAACTATTGAAATATTACAGTAGCTAATAAAAACCAGGTCACATTTTATATTTTTCAGGACATGATAGGTATTCTCAAACACAAAAGGGATAGAACGTACAATTAAAATACGGAGTATACTGAGGCACAAAGACTATGCTATAAATTGCATATTTGTTTTGAAGAACTCAGGATTACTGAAGAGATCCAATCTATGATATAGTTAATGTATCAGGAGGCTGAACACCTATGGAAGTGCAGAGAGAGTTGAAAACTGGCTCAAGTCTCAGGAGGGCTTTCGTTGGATAAACGCCTTTTAAATGAATTATATTACTTGCATGAGCCATTTTGAACCCACAAGTAACAGTGGGCTGAGAAACTACAAATGAAAAGAGACAGATCATTAAAGGTTCTTTAGATGCTACTATCATACTCAATATTACCCAGAGTAATTCAAAATGTGGCAAAGATTTTTAAAAAATCTGTTCATAAAGGTAGAAAGTTTAAATGACCGCTAAACAGCTAAAATTTTTCTAATACATTCATTTCTGTTCTAGCACAAATTTTTTCAAATACTTTTTCCCTCAAGAATATTTTGTTCAAAGAGAAGTAGAATTGTAAATTTAAAAATTCTTGCTATTCAATCAGCCAGATATCTCATGAAGATAATCTATTATAAATCATCTTGCCGAATTCCACAGACTTGCAGTATTGCAGGTCAAGTCCTCTCACTGTGTAAACAACATAGAATAGAATTTTTTTTGTAGCATGCCGAATCCAGACAGTGGGTGTCATCCCTATTCTTTTCAATTGCAAAATTGCAAAGAATTTTCCTTGTTCTTTGTAGTGCTTTATCACAATTATTATTTTTCTTAATAAAAGGAAGACGCTTTACAAATGCATCCAAAACTTAAATACACTCTCAACACAACTTCCCATCTTTTTATCTACTCAGCCTAGTTAAGAAATGAATTCCCTTGATTCTTCTTTATCTCTAACCTGGCAGTCATTACTTCCTTTCCCGTGTAGCCTAGACGTCATAGTCTCTCACCTCCACCAGTCTAGTTAGTATCTTCGATTTCTTTGTTCTGCTGTTGTACATGAAAATATTAATAGATACTATATAATTCTTTTTTTTTTTTTTTTGAGACAGGGTCTTGCTTGGTCACCCGGGCTGGAGTACAGTGGTGCAGTCATAGCTCACTGCAGCCTCAAAATCCTGGGCTCAAGGGATCCTCTTGCCTTAGCCTTCTAAGTAGCTGTGGTTACACCTATATAACTCTTGATCAATCCTACTCTGATTTCTCCGTATGAAAATCCTACAGATTAGTTAAGATTTCTTTTACTTTCAAATGTCAAATACCTAAACACTACCTTAAGGGTAAGGAGGCCTAATAATTAATGTAGTCAGATCATAAAAAGTATGCTCTAGTAGCCTCAGGGATCCAGGAATTTCTCTCTCATCTCAATTCGCCTCTTTCTACCCCAACCATCTGCAGTCCTTGTTTCTCCACTACACAAGAAACACATCCAAAACAAGCAACACCTTTTCACAGCTTGTCTCTCTCAATAGTAACAACAACAAACTAGTTATTTCTCCCAGCTCCAGTATGAAAGTTCCCAGTAGAGGTTCAGTTCACCTATCCTTCCCATGGACAGATCTGCGTGGCTAGGAGAAAGTTCTATGACTCGGCCCATCTCTGAAGCCAAGGGGACTAGGGGGTTGTGGGGAGGTGGGTATTAATGAAGGGCAGCACTGACCTAGCCACTAATAATCCTCCTGAACTTCGCAGCCTCCCCTATTTGTATGTGACTAATTCAGCACTACTAGAGAAAATTAAACAATAGAACAAATTAATGCCATTGAATATTCATCAACTCAAACTTCAGCAGGGTCTTCATTCATGAGCCTCTCGCCATCTCCTCTAAAATGCATCTGCACTAGCACCTATTTCTCCTTTCTGATGGTAAGGGAAGAACCAACAAAATGGGATTTCAGAACTGAACTCAGAGATCATGAAACAAAGGTTTCCTTATACGGATGAGGAAATGAAATCCCATGTTAATTAACTTCTCTCCACATTCCATAACTTGTTTTTCACAAACACTGACTCAAGTAAATAACACTTCATGTTTACATCAACTAAGTACATTGTCTCCTCCTAAGACCAAACCTTATAGCATCGTATATGCCTGGCCAAAGTCAGAGCCCATTTGAAAAGATAATAAGACTTGTGCCTCTCTTAGAATATATTCAAATAATCTGGTAATGTTCTATTCTTAAAAGATGAGCTTTAAAGAGCCACCGTTGCTAGGACACATGCTTGAAGCGCCTTTGTTGGTGAGGATGATGGGCTGGCTGCACTGATCCTATACTCTTAGTCCATTTAGGACCAAAGGCATTTGTCATGAGAATGGCTAAAACTGGAGGCATAGTCTATGGCTCAGAAAAACAACTTATCTCCAGCTATGTGAGGGGTTATCTGGCCTAGCTGCAAGAGGGCAGGGTTTGGGGAGAAACATTGCTATGGACTGGTAGTTAGAGCTAAGTGGAGAAAGTTACCACATGGACCTTAATGGGACAGGGCAGCCCATATGAATACATACAGTGAAGCGATAACTCACTGTGGAAGGCTGAAGAATGGCACCCCTAATGTCCAGGTCCCAATCTCTAGAACTTGTGAATGTTACCTTATATGGCAAAAACTTTAAAGATGTGATTAAGTTAAAGAACTTGAGATGGGGAACGTACGTGGGTGGGCTCTAAATGCAATCACAAGTGTCTTTATAGAAGGCAGACGGAGATTTAAGAAAGAAAAGAAGGCAACATGAAGAGGAATATGGAAATTAGAGTAATACACACGTAAGTCAAAGAATGCTGGCGACCACCAGAGGTTAGAAGAGGCGAGGAAGAGACTTTTCCCCTGAACCCTCCAGAGGGTAAAAAGCCCTGTTGACCTCTTGATTTCAGACCTCTGGCCTCTGCAATTGTGAGAATGCATTTCTGTTTTTAAGACACCAAGTTTGTGGTAATTTGTTTCAGCAGCCCGAGGAAACTAATACTCTAGCGTACTAGAGAATAGCAGATACCTAGCAAAGAATGATGATATACCCACAGGTGGATTTCAGGAAATAGTTCCAGGGTCAGTCCCTAGGACAAACAGTCTTTCCCCACAGTGGTCTTATCTAAAGATGTGACAGTGCACAAGAAAATCAACCGAGGAATTTTTAAAAACACTGATTATTGTGCCCTGTCCTAGATCTACCACATCAGCTCCTTGGACGAGGAAACTGCATGAATATTTCTAAATGCTCCACATGTAACTCTGATTGGAAGCCTTGGTTAAAAAATCACTGCTTTGCAAGCTTACCAATCTTTTATCTAACTGTAATTTCTGTAACTTAACCCCAGAGCCAGATCACAATCACATACCTCTCTCGACACTAGCCAGGACAGAATGACTCTTTGAATTTGAAGATCATCATTTTTAAGAATAACAAAGCAAAGAAAATTGCTTAAATTACAGAGGTAAACATATTCTGGTCTAAATTTAATTTTAAGTCGTTGTTCCTCACTTTTGGTTGCTTCTCAGAGACGATAAAATGCAATTTTATTCAAGGCTTTAGTGCTGTCATTGCCAGCCCACACAGGGCTCTCTGAAGCTTTTCTACATTACCATGCATTGTGTAACCGTGAGTCTCTCTTTCTCTCTCCAACATATTTTGCACAGTTGATGGAATTCGTGTATTTTAGTTCAATCATCTCTAAACTCCAATGAATTTTTTTCTCTGTGGTTCCTGAATCATTATGAAAAGTATGGAGGATATCACAGCTTCCACTTTCAGTGAAACTGACAGTGACCGCAGTGGAATTTGTACTCAGAAAGAATTATGACACCATCCGTACCACAATTCTCTCTTTCAAATGCTATGCTGGCTCTCATGCAGATACTTAGATCAAGCAGACTGTTAAGTATAGAATTAAATATGCACCACTCTGGCAGTGTTATCAGAGAAAGAGCATGTTTGAAAAAGACACTGGTTAAAAATTAATGATAAAACCAGTTATTAGATAAATATCAAAATGGTTAGAAAAACTCAAAATACTTTGCAATGGTCTTCAACTTCTACTATCGTCTCTATGCCTTAAAATAATATTGAAAAACTGCACTATCTCTCACTATAGGAAGCTTCTCCAAAACTAGGATTTGGAATTGACTCTTTTTTTGCCCCCTCCGCACCAGTGGAGGTCCTTACACCTTGCGATGTACCAAATAAGGTTATAGGTGAGGGTTATGACTTTTTTTTCTTAAGTGGCAAAGGGCAATTGTTAAGCAGAGATGCAAAAGGAGAAATAGCCTGAAGGCTTGACCACAAGAGAATTCACAGGTAGATCCATTTTAGGGAGAAGTACATACAGAAGATGAGTTTCTGGAAATGGATTCCCTTTAAGCTATTTGTGTTCTCCCGTACCCACTGGACAGTTTTCACATGCCCAAGTTTAAAGAGCGCCACATTAGAGAATGTATATTCATAAGCAACCTGGTCAACATTCATCTTTTCAGCTCTTATTTAGGGTAATAGAACATGCTTGAATTTTTTTTTTTTCACTTCTATGGTAAGATGTAGTTTTGAAATCGAGTCAACATGTAAACAGAGCTGAAATCTGTATCTCGGGCAATTAGTCTTATGTTGTGATGTACTTCCAAACCCAGTCACAGTCCCAAAACCACCTAACCATGAATAGATGTCCCAGCACAAATTCGTATTAATGAACACTAGAAAATTACTCTTCAAGCCCTTATCTTATTGAAAGAGAATCTGAAGTATAATTAATATGTATAATTCATCATGTAATCATTTTTAAGCACATTCCAGAGGCTAGGGAGGCATTATGCTAGGTACAGATGAATCTGTTCTGTCTTCAGAGGCCTCTTATATAAGGAATACAAAATGTGCTGCTAACCCTGACTGAACTTTACCTAGTGAAGAATTAGTCAGCTAATGGAGTCAACTAATTTTTTTCCTACTTACAATGTGTGAGACACTTTCACACACAGTATCTAATATGTGACATTATGTTATACATATTTTCTTGAGAGAAAGATTTGATAAAACAGAGAACAGATCCAATCTTATGAGCAAAGAATTTGAAACGGGTGGGTGGGGCACCTATCACTGACTTGTACATTTAAGACAAATCAATTTACCTGGCCCTCATTTTCTTTACATGCAATAGGAGAGGGCTGCATAAAGTTAGTGTTCTTTGCCCCCTTCCAGATCTACTATTTTACAATTCAGCTTGAGAAAGACCTTAGCTATCACCCAGCCAAACTCCCAAACTAGTCCTTTCTTTAGTCTCTGCTCCCTTTTCCTGTGTTCCTCACTAAATATTTTTTGCCATGGTTTTTGATCAATAGCATGACTACCTGCTCTCAAATCCTAGGCACAGCTTTTACAGATTAATAAATGCACATTTTAAAATTGCAAATGAACGAACAAGAATAGGAGAGGGAGTGGGAGCTACAGCAAGAAAGCCAGAGAAATATTATGAGGTGGGGGAAGGGGAGCAATGGGACTCTGACTGCTTCTTGTCAAATGCACCTTTCTGAGCTACAACAGTTTGAACCACCATTTCTTCATTATTACTGAAGAAAAATAAGGTAGCCAAAGACAATACTAACTAAACACACCTGCCAAAGAATATGGCCAGCATCTCTGGGGATGCACAAAATCAAACCTGAAAGTGAAGGCCGGGCGCAGTGGCTCACAAATGTAATCCCAGCACTTTGGGAGCCGCAGAGGGAGGATCACTTGAGCCCAGGAGTTCGAAACCAGCCTAGCCAACGTGGCGAAACCCAGCCTTTACTAAAAACACAAAAATTAGCCAGGTGTGGTGACACGTGCCTGTAGTCCCAGCTACTTAGAGGCTGATGCAGGAGGATTGCTTCAACCAGGGAGGTGGAGGTTTCAGTGAGCCAAGATCATGCCACTGCACTCCAGCCTGGGCGACAGAATGAGACTTTGTCTCAAAAAACCAAAAAGCAAAAAAAAAAAAACCGAATAAAAATGTAATTGCTAATTATCTTTTGTACTAACATAATACTTCAAAGTTTTACTAATGTGTGTATGCATTCATTTATTTATTTTGGGGGTGGACTTGATCAATAAGATGTATTCAAACACAGCACATTTCTCCTAAACTACTTTTGCTTCACCTTGAGATTACCTTCTATTGAACTGGCTGTTGTGTCTCAGAGAAAGTGTCTTAACTATGCTAGTATGAATAACACTATTCTAAATGTAAACAAAACATTAAGATTGCTGCTAAGTTCTTTGTAGAGTAAAGGTTTTAAGTATAGGGATACCTCACTGTATTGTGCTTTGCCTCACTGAGCTTCACGTATACGATAATGCTTTACAACTTGAAGGTTTGTGGCTACCCTGTTTTGAGCAAATCTGTCAGTGACATTTTTTTCCAGCAGCACAGTTTCACTTTGTATCTCTCTGTCACATTTTGACAATTCTCACAATTCAAACATTTGATTATTATATTTGCTATGGTAATCAGTGATCTTTGATGTTACTACTGTAATTGTTTTGGGGAGCCATTAACCATCTCCACATAAGATGGTAAACTTAATAAATGTTATGTGTTCTGAGCACTGCACTGACCAGCTGTTCCCTAAGATACAACAATACTGAAATTAGACCAATTAGTAATCCTGCAATGGTCTCTAACTGTTCAAGTAAAAGGAAGAGTTGCATGTCTCTCACTTTAAATCAAAAGCTAGAAATGATTAAGCTTAGTGAGGCTAAGGCTACGCTGAAGGTGAGGTTTCTTGCACCAGTTAACCAAGTTGTAAATGAAAAGAAAAAGTTCTTGAAGAAAATTAAAAGTGTTACTCCAGGGAACACACAAAATATAAGAGAGTGAAACAGCTTTATTGCTGATATGGAGAAAGTTTAAATGGTCTGGATAGAAGATCAAACTAGCCACAACATTCCCTTAAGGCCAAAGCCTAATTCAGAGCAAGGACCTAACTGTCTTCCACCCTGCAAAAGCTGAGACAAGTGAGAAAGCTGCAGAAGAAAAGTTTGAAGGTAACAGATGTCGGTTCGTGAGGTTTAAGGAAAGAAGCAGACCCTGTAATATAAAAGTCCAAGGTAAAGCTGCAACCGGTGATGGAGAAGCTGCAGCAAGTTATCCAGAAGATCCAGCTAAGATCACTGATGAAGGTGGCTATACTAAACAACAGATTTTCAGTATATACAAAACAGCCTTTTATTGGAAGATAATGCCATCTAGGACTTTGATAGCTAGGGAGAAGTCAATGCCTGGCTTCAAAGCTTCAAAAGTCAGGCTGACTCTCTTCTTAGGGGCAATGGGGCAATGAAGCTGGTGACCTTAAGCTGAAGCCAATGCTCAAGTATCATTCTGAAAATCCTGAGGCCCTTACTCTGCCTTTGCTCTTTAAGTGTAACAACAAAGCCAGGATGGCAGCATATCTGTTGACAGGATGGTTTGCTAAATATTTTTAGTCCATTGTCGAGACCTATTGCTCAGAAAAAAGGATTCCTTTCAAAATGTTACTGGTCATTAACAGAGCACCTCGTCACCCAAGAACTCTGATGGAGATGTACAAGGAGATGACTGTTGTTTTCATGCCTGCTAACACAACATCCATTCCGTAGACCATGGATCAAGAAGTGATTTCTACTGCCAAGTCTTATTATTTAAATACATTTCACAAGGCTGTAACTGCCATAGATAGCGATTCCTCTGATGGATATGGGCAAAGTAAACTGAAAACCTTCTAGAAAGGATTCACCATTTTGGATGTCTTCAAGAACATCTGTGATTCATGGGAGGTCAAAATATCAACATCAACAGGAGTTTGGAAGAAGTTGATTCCAACCCTCATGGAATGACTTTGGGGGGTTTGAGACTTCAGCAGAGGAAGTCACTGCAGATGTGGTGGAAACAGTAACACAGCTAGAATTAGACGTGGAGCCTAAAGATATGACTGCATTGCTGCAATCTCATGGTAAAACATGAACAGATGAGGATTTGTATGGATGAGCAAAGAAAGTAGTTTCCTGAGATGGAAACTACCCCCGGTGAAGATGCTATGAACACTGTTAAAATGACAAAAAAGGATTTAGAATATGAAATAAACATAGTTCATAAAGCAGTAGCAGGGTTTGAGGGGAATGACTGCATTTCTGAATGAAGTTCTACTGTGGGTAAAATGCTAACAAACAGCATCAAATGCTACACAGAAATCTTTCATGAAAGAGTCTACAGCTGGGTGTGGGTGGCGTGCATGCCAATGGTCTCAGCTATTTGAGAGGCTGAGGTGAGAAGACTGTTTGAGCCTGGGAGATCAAGGCTGCAGTGAGCTGTGATCGTGCCACTGCACTTCAGCCTGGGTGAGACAGCGAGACCCAGTCTTAAAAAACAAACAAACAAAACTAATGATGCAGCAAGCTTAATTACTGCCTTTTCAGAAATTGCCACAGTCATATCAACCTTCAGCAGCCACCACCCTGATTAGTCAGCAGCCATCAACATCAAGGTGAGACCCTCCATAAGCAAAACGATGACAACTTGCTGAAGGCTCCAATGACACACATAATAAACTACAGTATAGTGTAAACATACCTTTTTTTTTGAGACAGTCTTGTGTGTCACCCAGGCTGGACTGCAGTGTGGCACGATCTCCACTTACTGCAACTTCTGCCTCCTGGGTTCAAGTGGTTCTCTTGCCTTAGCCTCCTGAGTAGCTGGAATTATAGGGGCACGCCACTGTGTCCTGTTTATTTTTGTATTTTTAGTAGAGACAGGGTTTCGCCATGTTGGCCAGGCTGGTCTTGAACTCCTGACCTCAGGTGATCCGCCCGCTTTGGCATCCCAAAGTTCTGTGATTAAAGGCGTGAGCCACCTCACCCAGCTGTGTAAACATAACTTCTAAATGCATACGGACACCAAAAAATTCCTGTGGCTTGCTTTATCGCGGTATTTGTTTTATTGCTGTGGTCTAGAACTGAACCTGTAGTATCTCCAAGGTCTGCCTGTTTAAAGAATTTTTCCCCTAGTTACAACTGTAAACATCTAATGAACTGATTAGAACATTAAGTCCAAATGCTGGTTCATCATCAAAAAACAAACTAAGAGTTACAACTCAAATATCTCGTAACAGATAAGTCAGGAAGGCCAGGGAGAGACTCCGGGGGTTTGGAGAAAGCTCCATGTACAAGGTAAGCTAGCACTCAGCTGTAGCCTGATTTCAACCAAGTGGGAATGTAGCTTCACTATTGCTTTTTTTTGGGGGGTGGGGGGAAGTAGCTGGAAGCACACATTATTCAAGGCTGGCAAATGTTCAAGTATGTCAACAGAGAGAGCAATGTAAACTACTGTGGGTGAGACAAGCACATCCACTATCAAAGAGGACACCAATTTTGAAACAGATTGGAATGCTATTGTGTCCAGAATTGGTGGGTTCTTGGTCTCACTGACTTCCCTCGCGGTCAGTGTTACAGTTCTTAAAGGAGACGTGTCCGCAGTTTGTTCATTCCTCCCGGTGGGTTCATGGTCTTGCTGGATGTGTTGGGAGTTTTTTCCTTCTTGTGGGTTCGTGGTCTCGCTGGCTTCAGGAGTGAAGCTGCAGACCTTTGTGTTGAGTGTTACAGCTCATAAAGGCAGTGTGGAAGGGGACCCCAGCGAGTTGCCACTGGTGGCTCAGGCAGCCTGCTTTTATTCTCTTATCTGGCCCCACCCACATCCTGCTGATTGGTCCATTTTACAGAGAGCCGATTACTCTGTTTTACAGAGAACTGATTGGTCCATTTTGACAAGGTGCTGACTGGTGCATTTACAATCCCTGAGCTAGACACAAAACTTCTCCACCTACCCACTAGATTAGCTAGATACAGAGTGCTGATTGGTGTATTTACAAACCCTGAGCTAGACACAAAGTGCTGATTGGTGCATTTACAAACCTTGAGCTAGATACAGAGTGCCGATTGGTGTATTCCCAAGCCCTTAGCTAGACATGAAGATTCTCCAAGTCCCCACCAGATTAGCTAGATACAGAGTGCCCACTGGTGCCTCCACAAACCCTGAGGTAGACACAGGGTGCTGATTGGCGTGTTTACAATCCCTTACCTAGACATAAAGATTCTTCAAGTCCCCAAATAGATTTAGGAGCCCAGCTGGCTTCACCCAGTGGATCCTGAACCAGGCGGCAGGCAGAGCTGCCCGCCAGTCCCGCCGTGTGCCTGCACTCCTCAGCCCTTAGGCAGCTGATGGGACCAGGCGCTGCGGAGCAGGGGGCGGTACTCGTCAGGGAGGCTCAGGCGGGGCAAGGAGCCCATGGCGGGGTGGGGGAGGCTCAGGCATGGCGGGCTGCAGAGCCTCCGAGCCCTGCCCCGCAGGGAGGCAGCTGAGGCCTGGGGAGAATCTGAGTGTAGCGCCGGCAGGCCGGCACTGCTGGGGGACCCGGTGCACCCTCCACAGCTGCTGGCCCAGTTACTAAGCCCCTCACTGCCCGAGGCCAGCGGCACCGGCCGGCCGCTCCAAGTGTGGGGCCCGCGGAAGCCACACCCACCAAGAAATCGCGCTGGCCCGCAAGCTCCGCGCGCAACCCGGGTTCCCGCCCAGGCCTCTCCCTGCACACCTCCCAGCAAGCTGAGGGAGCCGGCTCCGGCCTCGGTCAGCCCAGAAACGGGCTCCCACAGTGCAGCGGCAGGCTGAAGGGTTCCTCAAGCGCGGCCAGAGTGGGCAGAGAGGCCGAGGGGTTGCGGAGAGTGAGCAAGGGCTGCCAGGACTGCCAGCACGCTGTCACCTCTCACTGTGATTAGAAATTGTAAGGAGGAAACAGTAAGAATCACTGAACAAACACGGCAAAATTTCCAATTTTTGATTTATAGACAAACTTCTGAATATTTCATGTTTCGCCTGGTATTTCTGACGCTGCGATGATGTTCTAGCCATTTCAAATAACTGATCTTCCTCTGATAATAACTATCAATGAGGCCCCACTATGTGATACTGCTAAGAGCCTGACTTTCACTTGATCTCACTGAACTCTCACAGCAGCCATATATGAGAGAGGTAGTATTATTCCCACTCTAGAAATGCCACAGCTGATGCCTATGAAGGTTAAGTAGGCTGCCAAGGTCATACAGCAGAGCTGGGTATCTCAGACAGGTCTTTCCTAAGCCATAGTCTCTGCTTTTAACTGCCCTAATCACAACACAATATTGTCACCATGTAAGTATATTATTATGTGTACTGTTCACATACACACCTGTGTACATATATACATACTTTAAAGTCAGTATTATGTGTATTGTTCACATACACACCTGTGTACATATTATTTTAAATATAGATAATCAGTAATAAATTTTGCAACTCTGATAAATGTCTTGCCTAGAAATCAGAGTTAATAAAGTTAAAAGTAAACAATGCTATCCACAGTATTACATTTCTTAGCTTTTCCTTTTGTTATATCAGCTTAGGCCTTCTTATTAGTTTATTTAAAAAATAATGTTTTCACAGGGAAAGATATCCATCATCCTAAGTTCACGGCTAAGAAAACTTATGATCACAGTGCACATGAATTGATGGTTTATAGTTCAAATTCTCCTTTAACACATCACTGACTATTTATAACTTGTCTACTCCATCTCCCTACATAGCGTACCTTGCTTAATGCATCCTCATTGTATTAGTCTATTGTACAATGACCACAACAAATATTTGATTATAACACATGCTGATATATGAAGGGAAATTGTTTTTTGTAACTACTAGACACTAATTAGAATGTACTTTTTCTGATACAGTAGTCTCCCGATCCTTGGGGGAATATGTTCCAAGGCTCCCAGTGGAACATGAAACCACGAATGGGACCAAACCCTATATATTGTATGTTTTTTTCCTAGACTTACATGCTTATAAGGTTGAATTTGTAAATTAGGGACAGAAAGAAATTAACAATAACTAATAATAAAATAGAACAATGATAACATATGCCAGCTTCACTACTCTTGCACTTTGCAGCTATTATTAAGTAAAATAAGGGTGACTTGAAGGCAAGAACTGTGATGCTGTGACAGCCAATTTGATAACCAACTTAGCTAGTAAGTGACTGAGGGCAGGGAGCATCCACAGTGGGGAGGCACTGGACAAAGGAAGGATTCGCGTCCACATGGGATGGCACACGACAGTGAGATTGCATCGCACTACGCCGGATGGCATGAGATTTAAAACTTATGAAATGTTTGTCTCTAAAATTTTCCTTTTAATGTTTTTGGACGATGTTTGATGGCAGTTAAGTGAAACCATGAGTAACTACCTGAAACTGCAGATAAGGGGCGAATCCCGTAATGGTATAGCATATGGTATAAGTATTAATACAGTAAAGTATTTTATAACAACTAGAAGACTAATTCATGTTTGTAACACTTATAATAGTAAAAATAAATCCCTTAAAACCATTCATTTATTCATTCATATATTCAGTTGAACAGTTATTTATTTAGGCATCGTGAATCCAGTGGTGAACAACAGACACAGAACTTAGATTTGAGTGGGGTGGAAGCAGGTAATAAATAAGAAAAATAACAGATGACGATAATTCTGTCACTTTCTGGTAGGCTACCAGATAATTATTATAAGGTGATTCAAATAAGGTCACTGGAAAGAGTAGCCGTAGCCTGGATGGTCAGAGAAGGCCTCTGGGCAAGGAAACGTAAGACGTGAGTGACCGGGAGCAGCCACGCACAGGTGTGGGGAGCGAGGTAAGCAGCTCCTGGGCACCACTGAACCGGGTGGGTCTGAGAAACCCAGCGGGGCTGGTGCGGCTGGAGCAAATGGGCCCAGCTGTGGTGTGAGCAGGTCCCGAAGGGCTTTTAAACCAGAAAAGTTAGAGGTTTATTCTGTGCTGGCCGGGTGACCACTAGAGGATTTTAAGCGGGAGGGTGACCTGCTGTAATTCATGTTTTTAAAGGGTGGCTCCGCTTCTGTGTGGAGAAAGGATTATAAGAGAAAAAGGGAAACAGCAGCGAGGCAGGTGGAATCTGGGTGAGAGGTGAGGTAAGTTGACTGGGATGAAGGCAGGCAGTGGCGGATTAGGGACGGATCAGGCTGTTTTTCTAAATTATATGAGAAAGGTGGACCATTTTCACATACCTCAAGCACAAATAAAAAACTGGGTACAACGAACAGTTTCAACAGTAGCACCAGAAATGTATCATTATGATATTTAAAGTCATTTAAGCTAAGAAGGAGGTAAATACATTAAGAGATAAAGGAAAGAAGTAAGGTGCAAAACATTGTTACGGTATGTTTCCATTTTGTGGGGGAAAAATGTGTGCGAGTATCTGGGCACGAATAGAACATTTCTGAGGGGATACACACAACCCCACCGACAATGACTGACTCCGGACACAGCAACTCGGGGAGCAGGGTGGGGGGATTTTCAATGTATAATCTTCTGGACAATTTGAATGTTGACCACACAGTGTACACTTTGCTTCTTCGATGAAAAATAGAGATGACATTAGATTTTATGCTCCTTGCAGATGAGATCAAGTCTTCCATCTCCCTTTAGTCTCTATAATGCTTCGTAAGTTGTCTTAACCACAGCGAGGGTTTCATTTGCTGAGAAGGCAAGGGCTTCAGTGAGGACGATGCTGTATAACACAATTATGATGGGAGGCAGCAAAGGCAGGAAAAAAGAACAATAAACTAGAAAGCTGCAGACCTAGATTCACACCTGCTTCTACGTCCTAGGAAGTAAGTAGGATGACTCCACTTCGCCGATCTAGGAGCTGGAGGTTAGGCAGATTGTTGCTTGGTGTAGGTTGAAAGTTACCAGATCAAATGCAAGATGCTCACTTAAATTTGAACTTCAGATAAATAATAACATTTCTAGCATAAGCATGCCCTCCAATTTTACATGAGACACACTAAAAATTGTCTAAAATTAAAATTTACCTGGGTGTTCTGTATTTTTATTTGTGAAATCTGGCAACCCTATGCCAGCCACAACTCTCTTTCCAAGAGGTAATGTAGTTATGATCTGAGTGAATCACTTTCTTTCTTATACAATGAATTAAAGGTTAACTTCCAAGGTATTCCACAGCAGATTTAACTATTCTTCTTTGGAAGCACCATGATTCCAGAAGCCATTGTGTTCACAGTCATCTCCTGATTTTGTTTTTTTGTTTTTTGTTTTTTTTTTTGAGATGGAGTCTCGCTTTGTCGCCCAGGCTGGAGGGCAGTGCGCGATCTCCGCTCACTGCAAGCTCCGCCTCCTGGGTTCACGCCATTCTCCTGCCTCAGCCTCCCGAATAGCTGGGACTATAGGTGCCCGCCATGACGTCCGGCTAATTTTTTGTATTTTTAGTAGAGATGGGGTTTCACCGTGTTAGCCAGAATGGTCTCGATCTCCTGACCTTGTTATCCGCCCGCCTTGGCCTCCCAAAGTGCTGGAATTACAGGCGTGAGCCACTGCGCCGGGCCTGATTTTGTTTTTAACTTTTATACCCTGATCCTCTGAAACTGTAATTTATCAATTTATCAAAAACTTGTCTAGTTTAGACAGCTAAACCATATCAGTGAAAAACATAACCATAACCAGTATTTTCAATAAAGATTCTGGAATGTACTTGATGAAATTTGTTAATGTCCATCTTGTTGGTAAGCCTTAAGTGTTGGAAAGTAGCAAGCATGTACCATAATAAAAAATGCAATTTGAGAACATAGGAAAACATAAATTTAAAGTGACCTTGTAAATATATGCAATATTTTTTAAGTACCCAAGAAAAACGGTCAATTATATTTAATAACTATGGACATGATGAAGTTAACGTGCACAGTTTATTAAAAAAAAAAACTTGCTGGGTAACAAGCACAATCCTTTTAAATAAATGGCCTGTAAAAAAAACAATCCCTGGGGGACTTTGACATTTAGAGAGAATGCCAGGCCTGGCATTTGTTCCCTGTCATTTCCATGCATTAGACAAAGCAATGAAGACAAACCAAATGGAAATAGGTTTTATTCAAAACGATCAATACAAACAAATTAAATAATCTCACCCAGTGGATAGCAGGCTTCAAATTTCATAAACAGGAAAATTTGCAAAAGAAATTTTAGGGAGCTAAATAGAATTGCCAGTTTTTCGTTTAGCTAAATGAGAAAATAAATTTTTTAAAGAAACAAAGCACCAACTATTATCGGTATTGTTGCATAAAAATAAGTTGCATGGACAATCTCAGAAGAGACAACTGTTTCTCAAGAAAGGACCAGCCTTTCACTGATATTTTGCTATAGACTAAAACTGTGACAGCAACTAGCAGCAGAACATGGTCTAGTCTGATAACTGCTAGAGTATAAAGTCTTGGAAGAGATGAAACCTTTTGCTTTTCTTAAAAAGTAGTCTCCATTACCTGGCATTTGTTAAACCCAAAGTTAATTAAGATAAACAAAAGCCATTCTAGTCCCTGGAAATTATTCCAGTCTCGTATGTACCTATATATGCTGTCTACATTCCTTCTGATTCATTAAAAAAAATTTCTCAAGGCAATATATGTATATCATTTATATAATCAAAAATTACTAAAAGGTATGTAATACAAATAATCTTTTAACTTCACCTCTGATTCTTGCTGCTCAAAAGTCACCTCTTTCAATCTCTTTTTGGTTTTTCTATTTTCAATATGATCTATTGACTTTCAACTGCAGAACTCTGGAAAGTGAACATTTATTTGGTTCTCTTAACACACACACCCATCCACACACACACACACACCCACACACACCCTGCCCGTCTCTTTCTTTCCACTCCCATATTAAAATCATACCACAGTCACAATTTGCAGTTTCATGAATTTTCAGTCCTCATATTATTGTGACTATATAGACATTATTCATGGGGCAGAACACTAGGCTACGTTTCCATTTTTTGTAAGATTTTTGATTTCCCTGGAGTTAATCATCATCTTATTTTGTTGTTGTTTACTCAGTTTTCTACGAATCTATCTCTATGTCAACTTCACACCCTCCAGCAGGCATTCCTTCGGTGCCATGGTTGGAAGCATGTCTCTTGGCATCGTCTCTGCCCCCACTCCTCTAATCTGGCTGGTTTCTATCTCCGGCACAGCTGTTGTCCCAGGGTTTCCCTTTGCCATTGTCCTGGGGATTCCCTCTCCCCCTCTGCTCTACTGGACACCATGTCTTCTCTTTCACTTCTTCAAGCAACTGAGAAAAAGTACATGAGAAAGTAGAGAGGGAAGAGACGCCCTGCTGTGAAACGTTTATACCTTTCACTGAATCCTGCTATTTTCAACGTGGGGATCTCCCCGTGGGCCTCGACTGAGCCTAATTTCCTAAGTCCAAAACCTCTGGATTAAACTTATCAGAGAGAAAGAACAGAAAATTGTAGGGCGGGCAGGGGGGCATGCTGGCTCATACCTGTAATCCCAACGATTTGGGAGGCCAAGGCAGGAGGATTGCTTGAGCCCAGCAGTTAAAGACCAACCTGGGAAACAAAACAAGACCCTATCTCTACAAAAAAATTAAAAAATGAGCTGCGCATGGTGGTGTGTGCCTGTGGCTCCTGCTACTCTGGAAGCTGAGGACTTGGGAGGATTCCTTGAGCCCAGGAAGTGGAGGGTGCAGTGAGCAGTGATCGTGCCACTGCAGTCCAGACTGGATGAAAGAGTGAAACTTGTCTTAAAAAAAAAAAGAAAATGGTGGGAGGAAGGGTATGCGGCTATCAAAGCAGGGGAGGGCATTCAGAAGGTCGACTTACTAATTTTAGAGGCTTTAAAGGGCTGTCCTCGTTCGACTCACTGCCCTCAGAGGTAGCCAGTGGCCCCCAGTTCCTGGGCCTTCCCTGCGTTCTGTGGGGACAGATTGATCTATTTCTTTCTTTAGTATTTGGCATCCAGTTTTTTTCTGTGGAACTTAAATAGTGAACACGTCTATCTGGTTTCCATGTTTCAAAGTTTGCTGATGTTTTGAAAAATCCTCTCTCATTCTTTGGGTCCTTGAAGGTCTACGAATCCTACTGTCATTTTAGTGGAGTTTAGGTGGGTGTAAAGATAAAAGCACACTGTTACCTTAAATTCTAATTTAAGAGTTAAGTTTTTTTGCTATATGTAAATACCACTTAATCACAGTCTAAGAGATCACAGCAGGGGGTGGATGGGGCACAGAAAATCTCCTCAAAACACTGTCCAACCATAGTAAGAGTATTCCAAATGGCCTTTTTATTTTACCTGTTTTTAAGAAGATGTATTAAGAAAGAAGTGTGGCCAGATGTGGTGTCTCATGTCTGTGATCCCAGCACTTTGGGAGGCTGAGGTGGGAGAAGCATCTGAGGTGGGGTGTTCAAGACCAGACTGGGCAACATTGTAAGTCCTCTGTCTCTACAAAAAAGTTAAAATATTAGCCTGGAGTGGTGACATGTGCCTAGTTACTCAGGAAGTGGAGGCATGAGGATTATATGAGGCCAGGATTTCAGGGCTACAGTGAGGTATGTTCTTACTACTGCACTCCAGCTTGGGTGACAAAGTGAGACCCTGTCTCCAATTTAAAAAAAAAAGCAACAATAAAGAAAAGTGTCATCAATCTATATAAATCTGCTGGACCTTTATCTGTCCCTCGGAGTGACAGTCAAGAGCTGCTTCTCTCAAAGTACTTTCTTGTATCTGTACGTCTAGTTAGGTAGGACCTCAACCCTTTAGATTTACTTATGCTGGGAGACCTTAGAAGAAAACTGTAATGAAAAAGCTCAATAAGGATTCGTTCCCTTGTCATGAGCCACTGGGGCACCAGGATCTAGAGAAGGTCTTACTGCTTCCTGTAAACACCTTGGCCTGCCCCAGTGGATTTCTGAGTAGTAGAGCTGACGCTGACACCACTAAACTGCAGCTGAGTGCAAGAAGGAGATTAGACTGTTTGAGATAGCTTCGTAATCTTATTTATTTACTGGAATCAAACACACACTTGGCTCACCAGATTTGAATGTGGCAGTAACGAGTACACTAGTGTTTCCAGTGCCTTGGGGGGCATTTCATGTTGTAAAACTTAACTGCAGGCTACAAACAATGGCATGTCATAAGGGGAGTCAGGCTAGGACTAGAGCCTCAGCCAGCCCGTTCAGAAAAATTTTGATATTAAGCATTTCAAAGAATCTACCTAGAAAAACAAATTCCACCGATATCAGGTGATCTACGTGTCCAAACAGGTACACTAAATGTACCATCGGAACATGGTACAGTGGATTTTAAAAAAAGAAATAAAATCTGCTTGAATGATAGTTAAGGCAAAGCTTAAAAATCTTAATTAAAATTAATGTTAGAAGAGCAACTTCCATCATAAATTAATATCATAAATTAACAAGCAGGAAGCCATCTTGCACAGCTACTCTTGGTCTCTGCTTCACTATGGATGAGTAAATAAAAAATATTTTCCAAAAATCTCCTATTAGACTCTAAGCTGGACGCAATCCCTAAGCTCTAAGCCAGGCATGATCTAACAACAGGTTGCAGAATAGCTTGTCACCATACATATTCCCACACAGAAGCTCCTTATGGTCAACTTCAGGTTATCATGATGCTACGAAACTCCCTGATCTTCGGCAGTGACTATCTTTAAAATGCAAATATATATATATTTTTTTCTCTTTCGACTCCTATCATTATTGCATAGAGTTTTCTTTTTCCTTTCCCTGGATTCTGAAAAGGATATTACACTAAGCTTGCCAGGAATGACAGCATGGACCAGCATTTTCTCTACAATGTTCAAATACTGCATGGAAGTTCTCAAACACCTGCTTCAGTACACCTTCCCCAAAAGAATGTGTTCAAATACAGTCTACTCATAAATGGAGGGGAGCAAGAATGCAGTACGACCTTGGGAGTTAGAGATGACACAACAGGAGTGGGACGCGGCTTCTCCTTCATGTATTTCTTTCTTCTTCTCTTCACAAAACCCACACCTCTACCACCTCACTGATGCCATACCCGCTAACCCTGAGGACTTAGTCACACAAAGAAAAGAGCCATTCTCTCTGCTCTCATAATGTTTAAATATGTTTCACTTAGTCCAGAAACTGGCCTTAGGAGATTTAACAGGAAACCAAGATTGTGGAGTGTCCTATCCTGAGTAGGAAATGCCGAACAATTGATTTACAGCCTTGTTGCTGCTGGCCAGACCAGCGAGGAGCCCATCACTCGAGATAACTATTACAACCAGATATGCTGACCCGCATACCCTACCCCTCTTTTGTGCTTTGCCCAGCCAAGCCTGTATACTTTAGCCTTGATAACAATATCTGTGCTTTGCCTAATAAAAAAACACCTACCAGCTTCCCCCTGCTGCTTCCTGCAGAGCCAGTCAGAGGACCCTGTGCCTCACCTCCACTGTCTCCCTTGTGCTTGAGCACAAGCCCTGATTTGAAAGCCTCATCTGGGAAATCTGCTCGGCTCCATGTTAATTTCCATTACATGGGAAGCCAAAGAGCCTGCGGTCTGTAACAGAGACATCCAAACCAAACACATCACCTACACTTTACTCAAGTGAAAATGGGTAAACAGTGATCGTAAAGATCTGCTATTAATTAAATTCAAGGGTCAAGAAATATCACTCTATCAGGAGCATAGTGTGCTCAACATTTACTCCTAAGTAATCATTTGAGCAATCTTAAAAAAGACATTTATTTATATGAAAGTACCAGCAGGATTTGAGAAATTCACAGATACAGAGGAACTAGAGGAAGGAGGGAAATTAAGAGGTGGGCAGCAGGGGGTAGCTCTAACAAACCAACCCAGTAACAAAAACCATTGTCACTTTGCTAGGTTTCCTAACAAAAATAAAACCAGGTCAGCGCAGTGGCTCATGCCTTGAATGCCAGCACTTTTGGAGGCCAAGGAGTTCAGATCACACGAGGCCAGGAATTAAAGACCAGCCTGGCCAACATGGCAAAAACCCATCTCTATTAAAAATAAAAAAAAAATAGCTGGGTGTGGTGGTGCATGAGAATTGCCTGAACCCAGGAGGCAGAGGTTACAGTGAGCCCAGGTCAGGCCATTGCACTCTGGCCTAGAAGACAGAGCAATATTGTGTAAGGAGTGAAAGTTTTTATTTTGGGGCAAGTCTGACTCAAGTCATCAACTTAAGGGGAATAAACAGTTATCGATAATATGAAAATGATACAGATAATGATAATCTGTAGAACTACGTCCCTGAAGAAGTCAGGTCTCTTTTTAAGATCTCCTTTGGCTAAGGATCACAGTAAAACATTAGAACATGTTGACTGGGCACGGTGGCTTACGCCTGTAATCTCAGCACTGTGGGAGGCGAGGCGGCCAGATCACGAGGTCAGGAGATCAAAACCATCCTGGCTAACACGGTGAAACCCCATCTCTACTAAAAATACAAAAAATTAGCCAGGCGTGGTGGCGGGTGCCTGTAGTCCCAGCTACTCGGGAGGCTGAAGCAGGAGAGTGGTGTGAACCTGGGAGGCAGAGCTTGCAGTGAGCCGAGATCAGGCCACTGCACTCCAGCCTGGGCAGCAGAGCGAGACTCTGTCTCAAAAAAAAAAAAACAAAGTAAACAAAAAAACCCACAAAACATTAGAACATGTTAATCTGGCAGAATAATTAATACCTGGTGAAAAAGTATAACTTAACATAGGAGAGCCAAGAAAAGAAAAATAGGCTTCTGAAGATAAAATTGTTTTTATCTTTGCACTACCAGATTTACTTTGTTCAACACACCACCTCCCTAATTCCTTCAAATGCCAGGATTAGAACTAGTGCAGGAGGATGTTGATATTTTGACCTAATAGTTTAAGTTGTTTAAAAAAAATTCTCCTTGGGAGCTCATTAGACTGAGGTACCTCTGGCATTTTAAATTTTTACATGAACAAACCAAAGGCCAATGTAAACAGTAAATGGAAACTAGAAAATATACCAATCAGAAACCATCAACTTCTTTTAAAAAATTTATTTTTCTTTCTCTCTGCCTATCATTCTTTCCACCAACTAACTTCCAGCCAATCAAAACTGTTCTCTTCGCCTTGCTTCTGCAAATACTACATAAGAGTTTTCCCAGCTGGGCGTGGTGGCTCACGCCTATAATCCCAACGCTTTGGGAGGCCTAAGTGGGCGGATCGCCTGAGGTTGGGAGTTCAAGACCAGCCCGACAAACATGGAGAAACTCCGTCACTATTAAAAATACAAAATTAGCCGGACGTGGTGGCGCATGCCTGTAATCCCAGCTAACTTGGGAGGCCGAGGCAGGGGAATCGCTCGAATCTGGGAGGCAGAGGTTGCGGTGAGCCGAGATTGTGCCATTGCACTCCAGCCTGGGCAACAAAAGCAAAACTCCGTCTCAAAAAAAAAAAAAAGTTTTCCTTCTTGCACCTCTCATCAGAGTGCCAGCCCCTTGTGGTTTGGTACAACCCTAATTTATGCATCCCTGAATGTTCAAACTCTTGAAAATGTATATATGCTTAAGTTTTTCTTTTAATAAAGTCTATTCAGCTAAAGGATGAATTTATGAGGTTAAAAATGTACTCCTTCAACTTAGGAATAACAAAAATATGTAAAGACATTTGCAAGAAAATTTTCATATTATGACTAAGAATTTTCTCCATTTTAAAATAGGCAGATATCAATGTCCTGTTTGACCAGAATCTCCTTCCCAGGCTCTAGCCTTAGTCTAAAGAGCAAAAGTGGTCTAGGAAGAAATGACAACAATCTGCAAGCCTGCCACCAAAACTTCAGGTCGCAAAGGGCCATTGTAATGATTTCTTCAGGTTTCTTTGTGTATAGCTTTAACTCACAGAGGAAGCAATGATTAGCAGTTATCTAACAATGCAAAGGAAACAGCAAGTGAAGCCTAAGCAGAATGGGGAGAATAGAGGTGATGGTGCCTTTCAACATTATTGCAACACGTTTTTAAAAAGCAATGGATTAGGCACTTAGCAGAGCAGAGGTTTGGAGCAAAGGACTTCCATTTTCCTTTAACACGTTTATGGTTAACATCTCCTAGTACAGGAAGAGGTTTATTCAGAATACATATAAAACTACCTTTGTTAAATCTAGCTCAGTCTTTAAGGTTCCTTCCACAGAGGAAATAACCCCACCAACCTCGGCAAGATTTCTAAAATTAACAGTGTTCAGAACAAAGATATCATTTTGTCAAAACCCTGCATTTTAGGGATGAGTCTTGGGGAGGTGAAGTAACTTGTCTAGGTGAACATTGCTACTTAGAAAGCAAAACCAGGGTAGCCCGCCAGGATGCGGCATCCTGACTGAGAAACCAACAGGCCAATGTTTCACTATGCACCAACCAAAGTACCAGTACTTTACTGGAAGTTCTTGAAATTTCGGTGTCACAGAAATTGATTTCTTTGCTATATCACTGAATAAAAGCTTTAAACGGTTCACTTGAATCAACATTATTAACTAGAGAATTCTTGATCTAATCTCTAGCATCATGCTTATTCCTCAAAAAAGGCCTCAAGGATTCAGCCACGCATGTTATATTAATCCACTCATGTGACATTCACCTACAACAACATAAAGAAACAACAGTTTGAGATTCCGCCTCATTTAAACGGTATCACGTAGTTTGGCAAGAGATGGGGAAGAAAAGAGTGTTTATCAACATGAACTTTTACAGATTTATGTTTTAAACCATAAGTTAAAAATTAGTACTAGAATAATTTATATTTGACAAATATTTAGACTCAGAGGAGGACTGTGGAAATGTCTGGGAGAACTGAGGCTTAAATCAACATTTTCTAATACTGCACATTCCAAATTCTGGAGTACAGTTGGCCCTCCATATCCATGGGTTTTGAAACCCCAAGGGTACCCGAATACCCGGGGCTGATTGTATTCTACTTTTAGGAAATTGTTTCTAAATTAGAAATCAATTAGAATCTAATTGATTCTAAAATGTTACTTCTGTCAAAGGCAGAGCAACCAGCTGGATCTGACAGCAGGAAGGTCTGCACTGCCCCCTCATGGCCAGAAGCCTTGCTAGTAACTCTTCCAATAACAGACACCCAATGAAGAGCTGAGCTCAGTCAGACTTCATTAATTTTAATAATGAATGCCGGTCTCCACGAAACACATGTTCTTCCAAAACATATTCAGATTTGCATCCTGCCCATATTATGTGCTTCAGAGGTTGATACAAACATTATTATCGAGAAAAAGACAAAGCCACACTCTCTCTAGAGGAAATGGTAAGATTTAAACACAGAATAAAGAAAAAAAGTCAACACGGAGAAGGGGGTTTTAAAGAAAATAACATCTATAAGCTGAATTTTAGTAGGTTAAATAATATTCTTCAGACGAGGTCAATATGAACCATAAAGTACTGGAAAATTCAATTTTCTTAATTTAAAATATTTAGACCAAGAAAAGCATTTAAGATATCTCACTAAAATTAAAAGCAAAACTTCTAATCCTTTCCACAGTCCTTTAACACTTTTTTTCAAATGAATATGAATAAATCAGAGAACAAGTGAGGACTACAGATAATTAATATTTGAATAAACCATTATGTTTTAATGGCCAAGAAAACAAGCTGGAAACATCAAAGATGAAAGTTTCAAAGAATACAAAACATGTAATTCCAACTCTGACAAGGAGAAGCAATTATTACACCTATTCTAGAAAGAGCCAGAGTTCTAGAAAGATAACATTAAATCCCAGGAGCGAACCACGAGTTAATGGTATCTTATTTTTTACAGGTTGGGAAGATGACATGAGAGGGTGGAGAGAGGTGGCAATGGGGATCTTCTAATCATCAAATTAGACATCCTGCATTTTGGATGAAAGAGTCAGATAATCAAAAATGCTGTTTACATGATTAGCAAGAAGAAATACCAGCTGGGTGCAGTAGCTCGTGCCTATCATCCCAATACTTTGGGAGGCAGAGGTGGAAGGACTGCTTGAGCCCAGGAGTTGGAGACCAACCTGGGCAACATACTGAGACATTGTTTCTGTTTCAAAAAAAAAAAAAAAAAAAAAAGAAGAGGAGGAAGAAGAAACACTGATTTAAGGGCTAAAAAATACTACTAGATACAAGTAAGATCAATGAAAATTCTGATTAAAATTGGAGGAAAACGTGTAACTGTGGATAAAAATGGGAGAAGTGATGCTTAAATCAACATTTTACACATGTCTATTATAGTATAATTAAGTTCAGTAATTTAGGGTACAAGCCTGTCATATTATTCAGTTTATTTCATTTAGGGAATATAAATGGCTAGTCAATGATTAGGGTCACTCTGATAGAATATTCTATTCTACTGATTTTCTCTTAGCTCTGGTGTTCAATTTTAAGCCACTAGATAATCCTAAAAATATCTCTTGTGAGATATTGGGAGCTTGGCTATATCCTTGAACACATATTCTGTAACTTAGGGACCACATATGCCTCAAAAAAATACTAATCATCTCTTAAAAACCGACTATAATCTTTAAGGTATCATGTGATGGCCTACTGACTACAGTTCTACCAGTGGCCTTTTATACTGTTAACTCCTGCGGCGTTTGCAATATTCAAAAAAAAAAAAAAAAAGTGCTTGGCCTTCTCTTCCACAGATACATATCAAGTAAAAGTACCTGTACTGTGTGACAAACACAGAGGACAGTAGAGAATCTTTTCATGTGGTATCTATGCTGGATTCCAACATTACACTACACAACCATAATTCTGGGTGAACCCACTAATATTACAATGCCTAAATTATCATGAGGATAGGTAGTAGGACTACAACAGAGTTAAGGATGATGAGCTCTTAATTTCCCATAGCCTCTGACTGCATACCATGGGTATACTCCACATTAAAACATCCAAAACAAAATCCAGAGACGTCTCTTAGTGCTCTTATAGAAGCCAATTTTATAGCCATGTTGAGAATTACATACATGCTCACATACATTTATTTAAGAATATGATAAACCATTCTGGTCTATTTCAGCAGGAGACCGCAGTCCTGACACCACAGGTGGTCTCATAACACTTTCAGTAGAAGCCAACACATCCCTATACAGGTCACATTAAAGGACTTTGAAGACACGTTTCTCTCTAAAGATAAAGCTTTTTAAAAAAACAGTGAGGAGTAAAAAGCCAGATTTGAAGACTTACTGGAGCCAGGCAATTTGCTAATGACGGAGGGGGTCAGACTCCACTATGTCATAATGTAAGGGGGTGAATAGGAAGCCAACATATTTCTTAAAGTCACACTAAGGTATTTTGCCACCTGTCCCCTGCCATATTTTGAGGGGAACCTGTTAATGCCAAAGTCTTTCAATAATGTTATGTCACACAGGGATGGGGAGGTAGCAGAGGAGGAGGGCAGTGGGGAGTGGTGGGAGGGTGAAGAAAGCCTGATGTCACTCTCAGTGGGTCTGGATATAACCCCGAGAAGGCTGAAATGACACTGAGATCCACCTCCTGACGCTCTCTCTGCACATTATCAAGCCCATGAATCTCCGTTATAATCATCTCCATCTCCAGACCTGGAGTTCTGTGATCCTATGATTCTATTATTCCATTTTTAAACCTGTGGAGTGGGAGTGTTTCTGAGTACCCTGCTCACACAGATGGTGGTGGGAAGAATCTCAAGAATATGTTGCATGTAGTAAATGCCCACTTCACTACGTAATCACTCCCTTCACATTTCACACGAACAAAGATTATATTATCTTCAAGACAGCTGCAAAAACACGAGTGGTTTCATGGCAGCATAGCATCAGCACATATATGTGTAAGGAACATGAAAGAAGAAATTTCTCTTCATTACATATGCCTGGGGCTAACCACTCTAAACCTGACATGAATGTAGTATAATAGGACCAGGTCATACTTGTACATCAGCTCCACAGACTGGGGGCTGGGGGAAGACCAGGGGAGGAAAGGAAAAAGGAACTAACTGAAAGATAAAATCATACACAATATCTCTGTATTCCTGATGTTCTAAAAATACTCCGCACTGAAAAATCATTTGTCAAGGCAACCTTTCTGAGACCAAAAACAAGATCGATGTGCCAAACAACAGTTTCCCACAGTCATCTCATTTTGAGCACGGCTTTCGCCCATCTCTTCCACAAACTGGCTCTTTACAAAACTGACCCATGCCACAGCATCTTTGTATCTGGAGTTCAGGTCCCATCCGTTTCACCTGATCGCACCTGATTCTCTTAGAACCATTTTATACTCCTCGTTACTTTCTCAGTCTATCACTGCACATTAGACACTGCCAAAGACTATCCAATTCTGTTGCCCTGCCACACAGCTGTCAATAAGGTTCAATGTGGTATTTCTTTACCTTGTTCTCCTTAGCAGAAAACTCTGAGGAGTTGGAAATTTTCATGGACTTTGACCTGTGAGACTGCCGCCGGATAGAATCCTCCCGGGAGTATTTCACGGAACCTGAGGTCCTCACCCGTACCTTGCTGGCACTCTGGACACTATTCACGCCAATCATTTTCGAAGGTCAACTAAGGAAGGGGTTTAGAGAAATAAAAAGGCACTTTCCAACCGTTCCAAGGCTCTCACGCTGGAGGAACTCTGCGGGGTTGTGCCTGAGCAGCTCCTGAGCGCCGTGATCCGCGTTAGCTTAAGAAGCACCAGGCTGCCTCCCCCAGCATCTTCAACTACCCTGTTTGCAGCGAGTCTGATTGTTCCAGGCACAGCTCACGTCACTGGCTGCAAAGAGGAAAAAAATGCAATCCACCCCTGCTACTCGTCTCTCTTTTCCACACACACACACACACACACACACACACACACACACACACACACACCCCATCATATTCACACACTGGAACGAATGGCAATTGGCCAGGCAAGCAATTCATTAACATTCCAAAAAGCAACACTATTTCTCTTGTGATATTTGTGAAGTAAGCTCATTAATGTCAACAACCAAATAGAGATACCACAAATAAAAGTCTCAAGTAATCTCCAAGGCACCATGTGGGGTGGGAACGTAGCTGAATTTCCACAAGGAAGAAAAAAAATATGGATGGACGTCAAAAGGCTCAATTAATTACAGGCTAGTGAAACGATGCGAGACACAAAGGCATCTCAATGATCAATAATTTTCCTTTCTTTCCCGTTTCAGGCCACACACTGTTTGACAGCAATTCAAATTATGTTGCCATTCTGAAGAATTAAATGTTTCTTATGACCTTAGACTACGACAGCCAGATATTTCAAGAGGAATTATGTCAGTGTGTACGGCAAATCCAGAATAAAGATGTTCTGTTACCTCTCTAGGAGACTGAGAAAATGACTGGGGGGTTAGCACAGGTTAACTTTCAATATGGCACAGAGTGAGAGCAATAAAGCTAACTCCGGGCAACAAGCAGCAAGCAGCTTTTCCAAAAGCCATCAATGTTCTGTCAGTGTACACAGCAATGTGCAAGCCTCTGAGTACGAATCACAAACTGGAGATTACTAGAAAACAAGACCATTTTAGCTCCTAACATATGAAGTGAGTTTTGAGCATACTACTCAGGATTGCGATGTCTCACTATCTGGCATCCCAGGGACAGAGGCTCAGCCACATAAGCGTGTTCTCCAGATAAAGGAGGCTTTCGTGTTAATATAAATAACAAAACTTAAACATTGTTTACAAAGACCACTCTGGGAAAAACGTCAGCCTCAATCCATCCCACCCCTCAGATTTAAACTTTTCCTTTACAACTCAAGAATGTATACACTTTTTTTTACAATGTACCAATGTTCAAATTTTGCAACGCACTGGTGTTCTTGAGCATTATTTGAGATAATTAATTTTTTAAAAAATGGTTTAAAGTAATTCTTAAACTTTAATTACTAAAGTTATGTTTTAATGTCAGGTAACTGTTTCCCTCTACTGTCAACAGGCCCAGCAGAGGGTGATGTTTGACCCTTGGGTTTTGTTGCATCCTCATGACAGGGGCTTTCTTCCTATATCCTTTACATTTTTTTTTTTTAACTTTTCATCTCCTATTTTTAAAGCACTTAGTGCTTCTATTGTGCTATAAAGAAGACGAAGACATTAATATTGGTAAAATGTTACCATCTAAAATAATAATAGATTATTTTTGGAATAGGTTTTGGAAGATCTTGGGGACTCTCCTGTCCTTTGAGGTACATTTTCCTCTCTTCTTAGGAAACTGAAGCTACCAAATAACTGTTTCTCAGAATTAAGAAAAATTCTGTAAAGTTACTATTTTACAAAGCATATTCCAAAGACATAAAAAGTGGTGTACTATAGCAGTAAAATAAAATCGATCATTTGGAATAGACTTAGTTCTAACTTAAGCAGACGACGAGTCTACAGGTAAAGATCTCCAGTTAACAAAAGTAAGCTTGAGGTGGAACCCAGTAAGAAACTAATACCATAATAAAGATAAAAATTCAAAATGTCCCGTGTAAAAGACATGAGCGCCTGCCTCTGTGTGGGGATAAAGACAGTGCACGGGCTTAAAAGAAACATGCCCTTTGGATATTTGTCAGTCATCATAATGAGGAGTTATAAACTATCTCCTGATGAACTTTCTTTTCTCCACCAAAATGGTTAGATTAAAAAACAAACAAACAAACAACAACAACAACAACAAAAACTAAAACCATATGGTAGGATGTACAGAAATGGAATCTGATACATGTCATTTCTGGGAGGTTTAGCAGAAGGACGCCATCTTTACCCAAAGACTGCCCAATTGACGTTACTCCTGTACTGTCTCCACTAATAACCACTTTCATCGATCTGTTTAACACCTAATACCTTACAGAAGCCACTTGTTCTCTTGTTTTCACTCTCAACATGACAATTCTGCGAAGTGGGTTGAGGTAATATTGCAATCCCCACTTTCCTGATGAGGACGCTATCACAGAGCCAGCATGCAGATTCTCGCATGAAGTATACCAGGAACCACGCTGTGTCCCTCACACTATAGCTGTCTGCATTGCCCTGTCCTTTTTAAACCTGCCATGAGCTTTTCTGCAAGTCAGGGAGAGAAAGTTTTCTTCTGCTCCTGCCTTTTACTCTCTGTTGCAGAACACGTATTTCTACGTGGACAGAGTGAAGAGAACTCCTACAATGCTGCTAGCAGTCTCACAGCAGATGATCCCTGCGACATATCTGAGTATGTCTCAAGAGGTACCTGAAAAAGCTGTACAGACCTCAGCATCCAGGGGCCCTTGATGCTCAGGCCTCATCCTACTGACCTAAACTTAATCCCAACCGCTTCTCACTCTTCTTATCTTTGTCAGTCAGGCCTGACTCTTCATTCCAGGTGAGTGCGTGGCACTTTAGCTTCCACTCAGCCCATGCATGGAAGGCAAGCTTGCCTCCTTTCTGAAGCTTTCCCGAATGACCCTCCATCTGCTGTCATCCTGTCTGGAACTCTGTTGCCCCATCCTGATTCACTACTAAGCTGGCTTCTCCTCATTCAGCAGTCAGCTCAGTATCTTTTTCCAAAAGGACCTTCTGTGACCATCCTTCCTTAAACAGCAGCCCAGCTCCACCCTAGTCATTCATTTGCCACCAAAACCCCTACTTCTGTGACTTCAGGGCACTCATAGCTGTTTGAAATTACCTGCATCTCAGAGGCCAAAACAGAACCTGGTGAAGAGCCGGAGCTCAATGACCAGCTGTCAAATAAAGGAACTACTTTAAATATACAAGTTTCCCTTCTCTATCGGCTCTCACGTCATTCAACTTTCTTTTAAAGAAAATTCAGGATGGGTGCAGTGGCTCACTCCTGTAATCCCAGCACTTTGGGAGGCCAAGGCGGGCGGATCACATGAGTCCAAGAGTTCAAGACCAACCTGGGCAAAACAGTGAAAAACCCATCTCTACAAATAATACAAAAAATTAGCCGGGCATGATGATGAGCACCTGTGGTCCTGACTACTTGAGAGGCTGGGGTGGGAGGATCACCTGAGCCCAGGAGGTTGAGGTTGCAGTGAGCTGTGATCATACAACTGCACTCCAGCTTGGGAGACACAGTGAGATCCTGTCTCAAAAAAAGAAAATTTAGCAGTTTTTTTTTTTTCTGAAAAAATGAATACAATAAATACGAAATGATTTCCCCCCTAACTATACAAAAAAGTATGAAGTGAAATTTGTTTCCTTCCCGTACCATTTTCCTGTTCAGTCCCTCTGCCCGAAACAAGAACTGTTCCCAGTTTCCTATGCATCCTTCCAGAGATAATAAGCCATCCACGTGTGTGTGTCCACGTGCGTGTGTGTGTTTGGGTTTGTGTGTGTGCGCTTGCCCATCCCTTTTCTTCTCATGGACTATAAATGGAAGCATGATATATATTTTTGCTATTTTTTTTTAAGATGGAGTCTTGCTCCATCGCCCAGGCTGGAGTACAGTGGCATGATCTTGGCTGACTGTAACCTCCGCCTCCCGGGTTCAAGTAATTCTCCCTGCGTCAGCCTCTGGAGTAGCTGGGATTACAGGCACCTGCCACCATGCCTGGGTAATTTTTGTATTTTTTAGTAAAGATGGGGTTTCGCCATGTTGGCCAGGCTGGTCTTGAACTCCTAACCTCAGGTAATCCACCCTCCTCTGCCTCCCAAAGTGCTGGGATTACAGATGTGAGCCACTACGCTTGGTCTATTTTTGCTATTTTTATTTATATTTTAGAGATAGGGTCCTGTTCTGTCGCTCAGGCTGGAGTGCAGTGATGCCATAATAGCTCACTGCAGCTATGAGCAAAGATCCTGGACTCAAGTGATCCTCATGCCTGAGCCTCCTGAGTAGCTAGGACTACAGGCATGCACCTGGCACGATCACGTCAGGCTGTTTGTTTGTTTGTTTGTTTTGGTAGAAATAGGGTCTTGCTATGCTGTCCAGGCTAGTCTCAAACTCCTGGTCTCAAGCGATACTCCTGCCTCGGCCTCTCAAAGTGCTGGGATTATGGGCGTGAGCCACTGTGCCTGGCCTTCTTAATATTTCTTGCTCTTTTAACCCTTATCAAAATCCTGTTACATTATCACATACAAAGCCGCCTTACTCTTGTTAATAGCAGCATAGTATTCGAGCATGTGAATGTATCATATTGTAACAGGGTCTTATTATTGAACATTTAGTCTGCAATCTTTTGCTACAATAATGATGCAGTGAATAATACCCCTGCAATGTATCACATCCTAACATTGAAACAACATAGTTTTCCAATTGTTTTCTGAACAAGTCTTATTTTCTTCATCCTACATTATTTCTTATCACCCACAATCATGGTGTTAGGTACATATGGGGTTCACAACTAGATTCAATATGAAATAATCACTTCAAAGACGTGTTGGATGACCCTGTCCTGCCCCATCTGGCTCTGAGGCCTTGACCATTTATAGACATGAGCCAGCCTGTACAGAGACAGCCGAGCCGGCTTGCTATAAAATAAAAGCAGGCTTCCTGGAGAGAAGCAGCTGTTTAAAGGTACAAAATAACTTTCCACAAAAGCTTTAGCAGAAAGTGAAGGTGACTTCCATAACAAATCAAAATAGCAGGAGACATTTAATGAAGCAAACTAATTAAGCGGAAGGCTGGAAACTGGTGCTTCACCTTCTGATGCTTTCTCTAAGGACACCGTTTGGTAGATAAACCCTAAAAGGCTTCTAACAAGGGACCTAGTTAATGGTCATCAGAAAAACTCAACCTCTCAAAAGAGTACCAGAGAAATGAACTCAATACACTTCTTTGCTGTGTCTACTAGGTACCAGATGCTGGGGACACACAACGCTGATACCATCAGGCCCCTAACTTTGAGCAGCTCACATTCAGTCGGGGGTAGGAGGTAGAGAGAACAAGAAATTCTGTTGCCATAATTATAATGATGAATATCTTCAGAGTATCAATGAACTGAAAGGCTTTCAGATCCCAAGTGAAATCAACAGGAGAGTATCAAACGGCACCCAGGCAGACACTTCCCTCTTTGCTAAGAAAATCTCACAGAACCATTAGTAGAAGGAGGTGAAGACTGAGGTATGAACTCTGGAGAAAAGCTAAAGTGGAAATGAATTATAAATACCAATTGTCTAGAGGTACAATTAGCAGGATACCAAGAAGGACTGGGGAGGGAAGAGAGGCATGAGGTGTCAAGAGGAACTCAGCCTCAGCCTATTTTCAGAACAGAATGGCGGTTGTAACACTCAGTTAATTCAAAAGGCTCTCATGACTTTCCCTAGGTTCCTCACATTACATTTGCTTGTACTGAAACAGAGTAAAGTGACAGAGGCTGATTTGGGAGTGACAGGGCAGGGGCTTGCCAAGATTTTCTGTCCATGTTTGTCACGTAGCCCAACATATTCAAGAGGCTAGTGCTGCTGTTATAAAGATGCTAATGATTAATTGTTTCCTAGACTATTCATTTGGACTTATTATTAGAGCTGGGAGAGGCCTCAGCAAGAATCATCTTCAATCTCTTCATTCTATAGATGACTCCTGAGACACAGAAACAAAGTGACTTGTCCAGGAGCTCATAACTATGAAGTGACCAAACTGAGACTTGGGCCCAGGTTTCTTAATTACCAATATTGAGGTTTCTTTTTTTCCTCCTATGCTATTTGTTTCTTGAAAGCTAAATATTCCACGAACACATATCTCTTCAGACTACATTAAGGCCTGAAAGGTTATCTTGAAATGGAAAGTTCAAGGCTGGGAGACTGACTCTAGAAGTGAAATAGAGGCCAGCTACTCATAAGAACTACGAAAAGGAGACATGAAAGGACAAAATCAACTGTACCAATAGCGTAGGAACTGGTCTTGGAGTCCTGAAACGTATGTGACAGCTCCCTGTCCTTGACCTGGCAGGAGTGAGGTACGCAACCTTTCGTTCTCTGAGTGCTATTCCTTTCCATGCGGTAACATGACTACAAAGCAAGTTAATTTTGCAGAGAACGATAGCTACTACTGTTAAGGATACATAAACACACAAGGTATCATGAGGAAAACAGATACATTGGATCAAAACGTACTGCTTTATTTTTCCTGTCTTCTTCCAGGCCTTTCCAGCTAATACTTTTCTAGTCTAGGGATCTATTTTGAACCCCAGCAGATGGTGGCAGCCTAGCTTCTTCTAACACTCTACACCCCAGGACAGGATTCTTATCCCCTAGATGGTCCAGCCACATGAGGCCTGATACAGGCTCCACTGCCTGACATCTGAGCCTGCACCAGAACCCTGCTGCCATGTGTCACTAACCTACCACCTTGATGGACACACCACCGCTTTCCTAAACGGGACTCAGACCCTTTCTCCCAGAATAAACACTTGGCCCACAGTGCCGGGCTACCTCTTCCTCGCTGTCTGGTCCGTCACCCTTCGACCCCAGCCTGCTGAACCAGCTTCAGAGCCCCTTCCCTTGATTTCCCCTGCCCCTTCTCAGAAAGGTCCAATAAGGCTTGCCTTCACCCATCTCAATTGGACATAAAACTGCAAAGTTTTTTCTAGCAGTGGGGCTACGGATTTCCTTAGTCCATAAGACATCACTAGAATCTAAGCTAAATCAACCTTAATGAACAATCACTATAAGAATTGGCGGTTAGGAGTAAAAAAAAAAAAATCCTATGATTTGTACAACCTATGAGGACGCATCACCTCACTCCAGCAGCCTTCAATCTTCCTGGAGCATCACACGCTTTTGATTCCATCTGTTCCTCAAACATACAAAGCAACAGGATGGGGGGAAAAATCTTTAAATAGAACGTTCTTACATTGCAAATGAAATAACATTCTTAAGGCAGGGGGAACACCCGTATAAGTTAAACAGTTTTGAACCTGGAAAAAAACCTCATTTTTTCCCCCTCATGAACAAGACCAGTCATGTAAGATGTTTTAGACCAGAGTGATGCATTAGATTTGCTGTTTAGAAGTACGGACAATGCAGAACAAAGACGGCCTCTGTGTGTTCACACACTTAACTCTGTATAGCTGACAATGCCACAGTCAGCTCAGACCTTTCCAACCATCATATGGAAAACAAACACAAAACTGTGAAGCTACAGGGCCTTCCGGAGATCAGAAAAACTTACCCTATATACCTGAGGCATTATAAACTCTTCTTTCTGTGCTACAAGAAGGTATTCTTAATTCTAGCCCAAAGTAAACACAAAATGCAAATACAGAAATGCTATTTCACAGCCTCCAAAGCTGTTCATCCAGATGAGTAAACCAATAATTGTATATAAAAGGGTGAGTGCTGAGAAAATACTGTTTCAAAAGCTAATCCAATAAGCCCGTCCATAATTATCTCTAACATCTAGTGTCAACTCAACAAATATTCCCCAAGTGCCTAATACATGCCAATCATTGAATCTAGGAGGCAATAAAATGATCAGAGATCCCTGCCCTTGTGCTTCACATCAAAGACAAATTATTCTCTAAGTAAAAAACAATGCCAGTCGAAGTACATGACCCTAGGTGCATTTTTTCTAAAAAAAGATTATTTGAACAGAGACAGAGAGGGAGCCACTTTTTGCTGTCTCATTTTCATTTATCAAAAGTCCTCTAAAATTACCAACATTTCATTTTTCATTTCTTTGATTAGTTTGCTTGGTAGTCTGGGTCACTTATGAATTTCTATCAGTCCTTAATAATGTCAAGCCATATTTAGTTTCATCAAAAAAGGGTGACCATTTGGTACAATGTAAGAGTAACTGTAAGCTCTATAGTGCAAAAGACAAAACATCTGTTTAAATTCTGTTCAACATTTTAACTTCCCTCATTCACTGTGCCAGGCATGAGGAATAAAATATTATGCAAATCCAGAGAGATTCCTCTTCCCACTGAGCTGACACTGAGATAGACATTAATCAATCAATAAGTAATAATCAAATAATACCCAAAATAAATGTAAAACAGTAACTGTGCCAATACAATGGAAGAGAATCACAAGGTACTGCAGCTCTGGAAGTCTCTGACAGCAATTGGAATGGGCCTGGCCTTAAGGAAGTCTGGGAATGCTTCCCTGAGGACTTTAGAAAATGAGGCAGGATCTGAAGAATGAACAGGAGAAAAGAGGGAACAGCAGTCTGTGCCAAGGCCCTCTGACGGAGGGGTAAAAGGTAAAAGCAGGAGCAACCAGAAGAAAATCAGGCCATAATGGAGCGGGAGCTGAGAAATATATTTAAGAAGGATGATGAGAGGCTTTTTTAAAGATGATGAAAAGCTATCAAAGGGACTTTAAAAAGTAGTAACAGAACCTGATTGGAATTTTGAGGGGATTATTCATTTTTTTCTTCCCAGTAACTGATGTTTGGCTAGCTGCAAGAATTGTCACTTTGGGCACATTTTCTGTAACCAAATGTATCTTCGGCCTTTATATTCAAAAGGGCAGTAAACCAAACTGCCTATATTATATAGATGTTATTTTAACTCCTCACTGGATAAGGTCTCTCTGAAATTAAAGGATGGAGTACAGATAGTTGGGGAACAATTAAAATTCAAACTTTAATACCAAAGCTAAGCTCTGGGGCTGCAGAAATTCACTACCGGGGGTAGAATGTCCAGGTGGGAGTTTGGACTGGTACTAGCTCAACCTCAAGTAAATTCCTGAAGGGTTTAGAAAAATCTGAAACAGACGCTGACATATGTGAAGGCCGGGCTACATAAAACATGGAGATGATGAACTTCTCAAATGGAGCAGAACACCACAAAATTTGGAGAAGACAGGGCTATTTCAAACACATTTCCCCCAACTGCTGGTTGTACTGCTGCTACCCCTCAATGAGTAGGGATTCTATGAATCAGACCAGCTTGACACATACGACCTTAAATACAACAAACAAACCCAACAGATTTGCTATTTCATACTCTGCCTCATCCAAATTTCAATGTGGCCAAGCCCCAAATCATGGTTTCTACCAGGTCAACAGCACATAAGGCGGCAGCAAAGCGCAATGGCTATGAGCCAAACGGACCTGTGTTCATATCTTGGCTTTGTCATTGACTGGTCAGTGACATTGAATAAGTTCCTGAAATTCTCTATATTTCACTTAAAAACAGGGGGAAACATGCTGTATTAAAATTTGTTGATTTTAGGCTACTCACCAAAACAACATCCTGCTTTAGCGGAAATCTTCAGGTATTCCCTGTCCCTGTAAGCTGGAAACAAAGGTATAAGCCATGTGACCTAAGCCCGGCCATATGATGCTCTCAAAAAAGTGGCGTAAAGACTCAGAGTCGGTGACAGAGCCCCCCTGTTGCAGTTGTGGTGGCAACTGCAGGCTACTAGCCCCACACTTTTCCTACGGAAGCAACGTGGCACTTTCCTCTGCACTCAGCCTCCTTGGTTCAAGTCTATTTTTCTAATATGATCCTCAAAATAGCCTCCTCCTCCATTCTGTGAACTACCTGATGACCTTTCAATAGATTCCTTTTTACTCTTAAGTTATTAAAGGTCAGTTTCCATGTTTTTGGAGCCAGGAATCCTGGCTATTACAACTGACTTATATTAGATGGTGCAGGGCAAACAGAGATGAAGCATTAGCATGGCATCTGATAGGTAAGTAGTGATGATGGGTAGTAACACTGGACCCTGAATGCTAGGAAAGATCTGAAAAAAGAATTTGGGATCTGAAAATAGTCCTGTCCAAGTGTCATGAAACAGTAAGGTAACTAGAGCACCTCAAGCCAGTGTTTTGTTTCAGTGACAAAGATTAAGAAGACACTGGTACCTACTCAAGCCTGAGGCACCACACAGTAAATCATCATCAATAAAATGTTCCTGGTCCCTTCAACACCTGCCCACCACACCCACCTGAGCCCTAACCTGCCAGCCAACTCTCCTCATCTGCTACCACCACACTGTTCCCTAAGCCTGTGGAGAAAACATTCTACAAAACTCAAATTAACTAAATTAAAAATGAAGTTCCAGCCAGGCGCGGTGGCGCACGTCTGTAATCCCAGCACTTTAGAAGGCTGAGGCAGGTGGATCACAAGGTCAGCAGATCGAGACCATCCTGGCTAAGATGGTGAAACCCTGTCTCTATTAAAAATACAAAAAATTAGCCGGGCGTGGTGCTGGGCACCTGTAGTCCCAGCTACTTGGGAGGCTGAGGCAGGAGAATGGCGTGAACCCGGGAGGCAGAGCTTGCAGTGAGCCGAGATCGTGCCACTGCACTCCAGCCTGGGCAACAGAGTGAGACTGCATCTCCGAAAAAAAAAAAAAAAGTGAAGTTCCTTCTCTAGATGGAAGCTTCTTTCACTTCTTAAATAATAAATTAAAATTATTCTGATAGGCTGGGTGCAGTGGTTCACATGTGTAATCCTAGCACTTTGGGAGGCCAAGACAGGCGGATCACTTGAGCACTTGAGCTCAGGAGCTCAAGACCAGCCTGGGCAACATAGTGAAACCCTATCTCCACTGAAAAAAAAAATTATTCTGATAAATGAAACTGTTTTCATGTGGTAGTACTGATTCAAGGGATCCTTGGAGCTGGCCAAAGGTATGGAGGAAAATTATAGCATAAAAATACTAACTCTTAGATATTTAAAAAAATCTAATACATTTTTATATAAGAAGGAAACAATAAATGGATAGGAAAAAAGACCCTCTAAGACAGGAAGGGACCAGAGTTAGGCTGTGCAATTCCCAAATTCTCTAGGGGTAAAACTACTCCTTCCCCTTCTACTAGGGATCCTTAGCCTTCTAGACTTTTAGACTAAAGATCCCTAGCAGAGGGAGAAAGCTTCCTTGCAAAGAACAGCAACGACAAAGGCCTGATGAGAGCTAATGTTACAGTAATATTGAGATCACAACTTGGGCTGGCTATGTGAAGGCTGACAATCTAAATGAAATCTTAATCTCTCTCAGAGGAAACTGCAGACACAACAGTCATTGATACCTGTCAGCCCCAAATCAGCCTTGCAGACATAAAAGTGCATGCATGAAGTAAAAAGATAACAGCATCTTTGATGCCTCCTGTCATGTCATAAACCAAACTAGGTAGTATATCAAATACTGTAGAAACAAACTATTAGACTTCTTCCATGTATGCCAGAAGACCCCTGAAGGATTCCATAGAACTGTGGATAACTTTGATCTATTCCCCCTTAAGGGGCATTTTTATTATGTAATAACTGACACATACGAAACAATACATATAATATTTACACAAGATATTAGAAATAATAAAAAACACCCTTAAACATTCCTCCAAGTACATGAAACAGAACATAACCATCACCATTAAACTTCTTGAGGACACCAATCTCAACGGTTTTGCTCTTCCTGGGTATATACACATACCAGAAAATAATTTTGCATTATCTTGTAAAGTTGAATTTATCTACCTTGTAACCTCACAGTTCTTTTCCAAGGACTACACTCTAGAAAGACCATTACAGAAACTTGGAACAGATGAGTTAAAAAATGTTGTCTGTAACAAGAAGGAGTATGAAACAAGTCAAATGGATAAATTAACAATGATAACTTCATGTGACCAGAACAGTACCCTCTCTCATGTGTAATGCAAGCTGGTAACAGGAACGGGGGGAATGCACATTCCTGGGTAGACTCTGTGCTGAGCTGCCCAGACACCCCTTCAGGAATCAAGGGCACATCCAGCGTCACCTGGCAGCTGTCGCTGAGAATTGCCCTGAGATGAAAAAAGGTGCCTGGCCCAGGGTCATGGGAGACAGGACCTGCATCTGAGGATGTGTCAATGCCTCTCTAGCTTTCTCCACCGACCTCCGGTCCCAGAGCTCTGCAAGGATTCACAGAGGCCTTTGTTGAGATGGCATTGCCGTCCGTTCCTCTCTGCCCAATCCTGCTTCCTTTCCACCTCCTCCTCACCTCCATACGACTCAGTCTGTTCCCCAGGGAATTTCATACAGGCCGGAAACTTCACATTATCTCATTTAATACGTATGACAAACACTATTAGATAGATATTATCAGTCCCATTTTATACATGGTTTTAGAGGAAGTAGTTAACTTGTCTAAAGCTTTTCAGCTAAGACAGGAGCTTGGATTCAATGTTGAATCTACTTGGATCCTCAAGACTATGCTCTTTCAATTACTCTGTGTGGCCTGTTTTACTAAGCAGCACGTTGCTCAGCTTGTGTTAAGATACATTCCGAGGAGCAAATAAAAGTGCATTTCTTTTAAATTATTCTTTAATTCAGATATTACTAATTGCATTTTCCCCAGAATTACAAAGGTCTTAGTACATTATAATAAGTATCACAGTCACTCATCAAGATATGATGAGCTTCCTAGCTTGTGAATACAAATAAGAAATACTCCATTTTTACTGCACTAGTTCTAAGATATCTGATTCTCATAGGATAAGGGAGCAGTAGTGTGCCTCAAATCGGAACATCATTAGAGCTGGGGAAAAGTATAGAATGGTACTGTCCAATAGAAGTCTATAAAAGCCACATAATAACTTAAAATTTCTAGTAACCTCATTAAAATGTGTAAAAAGAAAACAAGTAAAATTAACTTTAACGATGCATCTTGTTTGCCCCATATATCCAAAATGTTACCATTTCAGGCCAGGCACGTTGGCTCATGTCTATAATCCCAGCACTTTGCCACTTTGCGGGGACAACGTGGGAGGATCACTTGAGCCCAGGGGTTTGAGACCAGCCTGGGCAACATAGTAAGACTCTCTTTCTATTTTATCAAATTTAAAAGAAGTTATTTCAACATGTAATCAATAAAAACAATGAGATATTTTACATTATTTTTTCTGCACGAGTCTTTGAAATCTGGTGTGTATTTTACACTCCCAGAATATCTCAATTTGGACTAGCCAGGTATTAACTGCTCGACAGCGACATGGGGTGAGTGGCGACAATACTGGGTATCACAGGCAAGGGGGAGAGGGTAGGAAACAACGGGCTAAGAATGAGATAAGAGAATTGTCAGTACTTTTACCATCCACTCCTGACTGGCCAACAAAAGTACCTGACAAGTGATAAGACTCAAAACATTTTCTCTTAAATATGGAGCCCATCTCCTTGACAGTCTATGTAAACAAGAGTGCTCTGCAGAACATTATAGAAAAGTGTTTCTTTTATATACAGTATTAAGGTCTGAGGTCCATGATTCACTAAAACATTTCGTTGCTATCAGAAGTCAACTTGGGAACATTTTATATTCTAGAACATTATTGTTACTTAAAGAAACAAAATGCTTTAAATGGAGTTCTAAGAAAAGAACATGGCACCTTCTCTCCTCCTTTATCTTAAAATCCCCAGAAGGTCCCAAAGCTCTGCCTGTGATTGCGTGAATTACCTCTGGGCAAGTATCTATCAATTTTTAGGGGTCCTAGATTCCTCATCCAGGAAATGTGAGTGTTGGATGAAATAACCTCTCCAGTTCCTTCTGGCATCAACATTTCGTCACTACACAGCACAGTCTGATCAGCAAATTGTTTTCTGAAAAGCAAACAAAAATCCATTTCATCGTTGCATCACTTTTCTCTGAGAAAAAGTCTGTACATAATTTATCTATTGTGGAAAGATGAATAATGGTCCCCCCAAAGATGTCCATGTCCTAACTCTCAGATCACAAGATTTTTATGATACTCTGTGAATATTATATGTCAAAAGAGAATTTGCAGATGTGAATAAGTTAACGAACTTAAGGAGAAGAGATTACCCTGGGTTGTCTCAGTGGGCACACAGGATGTATTTTTGTTTTGTTTTTTCAGAGACAGGGTCTCACTCTGTAGCCCAGGCTCAAGTGCAGTGGTGCGATCATAGCTCATTGTAACCTCGAACTCCTAGGCTCAACTGAGCCTCCTGCTTCAATCTTTCAAGTAGCTAGGTCTACAGGCACATGCCACTATGCCCACCTAGTTTTAACATTTTTTAATTTTTTAAAAAAATTTTTGTAGAGATGAGGTCTCATTACGTTGCCCAGGTTGGTCTCTAACTCCTGGGCTCAAGTGATCCTCCTGCCTTGGCCTCCCGAAGTGCTAAGATTATAGGTGCAAGCCATGATGCTCAGCCTCACAGCGTTCTTACAAAAGAGGTTGGAGGTTCAGAGTCAGAGAAGACGGGATGACAGAAGCAGAAGGGAAGAAGAGGTTTGAAGGTGGAGAAAGGGGGTCATGAATCAAGGAATAGACAGCTCTTAGAAGCTGGAAAAGACAAGCAAAAAGATTCTCCCCTCGAGCCTCCAGAAGGAATACAGCCCTGCCAACCCATTTTGGACTTCTGACCTTCAGACCTATGAGCTAATATATTGTGTTAAGACAACAAGTTTATGGTAATTTGATACAGTAGCAATAGCAAACAGATATACCTATAATCATACAAGTAACATCCAAGATGGTATATCTATGTGGCTTCTTTGTCAGAAGTAGGTGTATTGATTTCCAACTAATCTATTTAATTAGGATTAAGGAGTTCTGTGTTAGCTTTTATATGCAGGAACAATAATATGTGAGATAAGTTTCAATAAAAAAGTACTAGCTTTTTCTAGAAAATATGTAGAAACACTATCATTTAAAATTAACATTAATGAGAGATAGTAAATCTGTATTAATATTAATCATCTGAAGACCCAAAGATGAAACCCCACTCAACCAGGCTCATAAGGAAATGAATGAAAAGGTTACCTGGTGTGGCAGAGATGCCTGTTTGTCCACCTAAATCCCTTCTTCCTCCCATGGTACAGGGTTGTTTCTGGGAACATCCAGAGACTGCTTCTCAGCATCCCTTGCAACTAGATTCCTGCTAAGGAATGTGAGTGAAAGCTATGTGTGCCACTTCCAGGCCAAGCTTTTTAAGAGCCACTACTCATTTTACTTTTACAGGCCAAATACAGAAAAATTCATAAGTCCCCGAAGATGATGATGCCACAAAATGGAAAGAGGCTGCTGTATTTTTGCAAAAAGAAGCAATCTGTTCACCAGGAATATCTAGCTTTGACAACCATGTAAACAAGAAACAAACTTATACTGTGTTGGAGCCAGTCAACAATTTGAGATCATTTACTACAGTAATGTAGCCTACTCAGATGAAGACACCTAGTCACAGTCAGGCAAGACGACCCAACATTTCTTTCTTGAGCTTATTTTCAGGTTGATAACAATTCATAGAGTGTAGTGAAAACTGGGGACTTATATTGAATGAGTTTGACTAACCTTCTACTCACTTGACCGAATACTCTATATGAAGGATAGTGCCCTTAGAAAATATGTGCTGGAATGTCTGTCATTTCTGGTAAAAATTTCAGGTAGCGTAAAGACTGCTGGGCAATACAGGAAAAAGAATTCAAATGATATAAAAATAAATTAATTATAAACTTTTGGATAGGCATGGTAGGCTATAGAATGGTGGGTGGTCACACTGGGAGAATGAGCAGTTTTAGTTATTACCAGTATTTAAGCCAAAGTTCATTAGGGTTTTTCGCAGTAACACACATTGTACAAACAATAATGAGATCCCCACCCAAAAAAAAAAACCACAAAAATCAAGCTGCAGATTCCGCTCCTATATTTTCCTTTCTTTACTAAGCCCATTGGCAACTGATTAACTTTTTGAAATTATTCTCAACTATAAATTCTACCCCATCAGCAGTTAATCAACAATAAAATTCCTGGGAAAAAATTGGTAATGTGAGGCTTCCTCATTTGCAAGGACATTTGAACAGAATCTTATTTCAGTCAAACCTTATTTTCATTTTCCTAGGCCAAGAATTAGAGAAACAGAACCTGAAATTAGCAACCATCTTTTGGGACTGTTGTATTAACATTAAAGATAATATACAATATAAAAACCAAACCCAGACAATAATGCAGCAACTTTCCCTGTTTCCCTTTAAAAACAGACCTCCTAATCACTTAATTAGATGTACTTTAAAAGGTACATAAAGTCCAAGAATTTATCATATCGGTGGCCAAAAATAAGAATATTTTACAGATTCCTATTAATGAGTTATCTATACATTATTAGTAATAGGAAAAATGATGTACTTTCTAGAGTACGGTTGTTTCTTAAGGATCAAGCTCTTAAAGATATAACATACTGCTGAAATAGTGTGAACACTCGTGAGAGGCTATCTCCCATGCTTAAACCTTTCTGCTCCACTTCTAATAACCTGAAAACAATATTTGAGAAAATCAACAATGTGCTTCCGGAGCTAAGAATAAGCATAAGCACAACATGGTCTCTTAGCAGACATACTGGGGGAAAACCAGGAACAGAAGCCAAGCCTCGAGACCTCTCAACTCAAACACCAATGGGTTTCACACCATCACACTGAAGACCAATACGTAGAATACTGCAACTTCCTTTTTTTTCAGTCTTTTTCTTTCCTTTGGTTTTTTCTTTCTTTCCTTCCGTCTAGGGGTAAGCAAACAGTAGAGTAGAAAGGATGCAGGACTAAGATTCACAACATTTGAGTGAACCTGACGCAATGCCACCATCCTGTGATACAGCCTTGGAAGAGTCACTTTACATCTCCAGACCTCAGTTTATATATCTGTACTGATGTTATAATCTCCAAGGTCTTTGGAAATTTAAAACTCTATAATTTCATAAAACAATATTTTGTGTATTTATTTATTTTGAGACAGGGTGTTACTCTGTCACCCAGGCTGGAGTGCAGTGTTGTGATCATGGCTCACTGTAGCCTCAACCTCCTGGCTTAAGCAATCCTCTCACCCCAGCCTCCCAAGTAGCTGAGACCACAGGTGTGTGCCAAGAAGCCTGGCTGATTTTTTTTTTTTTTTTCTGTAGAGACAGGATCACTCTATGTTGTCCAGGTTGGTCTCGAACTCCTGGGCCCAAGTGATCTTCCTGCCTTAACTTCCCCAAATTCTGAGATTACAGGTGCAAGTCACTGTGACTGGCCACATGAAACATTTTTATCTTGTATACTGTAAGTAAAATAGTTTTTTTTGGTCACAAGAAATGCTGTGTCTCTTGAGTTGGTATAAATAATTTCAAACACAATACAAGTCTCATTCAGCTTGCTATAAATTTTAAACTCATATACAGTAACCTATTTCAACAAGCCCCTTTATGAAGCTTACACAATTGAAAACATACTATGTATCAAGAAACCTTTTATACAGAATGGAACAATCACATCGTTTATCAATAGGGTAAGCTGAACATTTATATTGCAGTCCAGTTAAACCAAATGTGTATGTACTAGTCTCATCATTTAAGTGAAGTCTTCCATTGTTGAAGGAAACAAAAAAGTGGCTTCCTAGTAGTGCAGAGTAAGTTCCAAGATGTTTAAAGGATATATACACGTGCCTGTCAATGTGAACTTTCTTTAAATGCACTGATTTATGCAGTAATATTTGGAGTATGACTTTAAGTGAATATTTGCTTTAATATTTACCAAATATAAGAGCTTTACAACTGCATAGCCATGAGCTTTCCTGAGGGAGTAAAAATCTACGTACAAAGTAGAGATTTATGAACACTATTTCATCTCAGGTTTTTTCAACCGACAAAAAAACATGAAAATATCACTGGTGTGAAATACTATGTTCACAGGACCATTTACGGCTCTTGGGATTTTTGCCTACAAATTATGTGAAATTACATGAAAGAGCTGAAAACAAAAAAGAAGCAAAAACAAAACCCCTTTAAGAGTGCATTCGTTTCAGCATTTTACTTCCCAAGGCAGAATGTTTTCCCAGGAATCCTGGGAGTGACTTCAGATACTCCGACTGATATTTACAGCTGCCATGTATTTACACCAATAACTTGTCCATCTGTAGAGGAAGGCTGAAATAATCAATTTGTAACCGACAGGTCTTTCTACATGTTTAAGATCATCTTGAAATATATTGGAAATGTATCTCTCAGATCCACATTCTCCCGGATGACTTCAAAACATCACCTGATTTTGGTGATGGAGGAAATTTTTTGGTGTGTGTTTATGTACATAGGTAACCTACTTTATGGGTTGTTCTAAGAGTTATGAGATGGAAATCATGTAAAATGTTAGCACATCTTTGGTAGCACATCTTTACCTTAATTGGTACTGTTTTCCCCTTTTTGTATTGTGAATCATAGTTGTACGTACTTTAGGGGTATGTGTGTTCTTTTGACACATATACACAACAATGTGCAATGATCAAGTCAGGGTAACTGGGATATTCATCGCCTTAAACATTTATCTTTGGTTTGTGGTGGGAGCATTACAATTTTTCTCTTCTAGCTATAGGTACTCTTTCTTTCTTTCTTTCTTTTTTTGAGATGGAATCTCGCTCTGTTGCCCAGGCTGGAGTGCAGTGGTGTGATCTCGGTTCCCTGCAAGCTCCGGCTCCCGGGTTCACACCATTTTCCTGCCTCAGCCTCCCGAGTAGCTGGGACTACCGGTGCCCGCCATCACGCCTGGCTAAATTTTTGCATTTTTAGTAGAGACAGGGTTTCACCATGTTAGCCGGGATGGTCTCGATCTCCTGACCTCATGATCCGCCCGCCTCAGCCTCCCAAAGTGCTGGGATTACAGGTGTGAGCCACCGCGCTTGGACAGCTATAGGTACTCTTTATAAGAGGCATTTTACTGCTTTGTGTAGTGCCTGCTATAGCCATTTTCATGTTCTCCTAAAATGTCTTTCTCCATGTCTTTTCTGGTATTATCTTGATTTTTGTGTTTTTCTGAGGCAAGAACTGTGAAAAATCCTAATGGGAGGAACTCTCCTTATTTGAGAGTGTCGAGAGCTGAAGGAAATGTCTTAACTTTTTGGTTAAAAAAGGAATACAAGAAAAAGAAGGCAACACCACCAGCAGATGCCACTGCCTCGTCACGAGGGCTTTTCTCCCCAATGAATTAATAGTCTACAAAGGGGCAGAAGTTTCCAGTGCATTCTGCAGCTGTAAAACACACTGAAGCCGCTCAGGGACCAAGATGCAAATGAGCCTGCCACTGATGAACCAATGTCTCAGCAAGGGCCTTCAGAGACTTACACAGAGAGGTCCCCTTAAAGGTATGAAAAGGTGCTCATTAAGCACTTTTAAGACGTCGAAATTGAAATAACTATCCTTCAGTTCTTCATTATCACTAGGTGGTTGGACTCTGAGGGGATCAAGCATTTACTTTTCAAGGAAAAGTTTAAACCAAACTCATAAGCACACAAACCTCTAGAAACGTACCATTTTGCCAGTGAAAATAAATCACCCAGAGAAAAGAGATCCCATATAGAGAATTCCCTTGGACATGAAATTCTTTGTTAAAGTAAATAACATGCAACTGACTTCCACAGAAGACTGGATGACTGCAGTACAATGGATGCTGTTAATATTTCCGAGAAGATGGTGGCTAACCTTTAGTTGTTTATTTTTTAAAATAAGTAAAATAACATGAATATGTTGCTAATGAGAATATATAACACTAAGCCTGAAAATATTCATTAAGCCATGAATAGAAATGGATACAGCTGAATCTCAATGCTATCATTTTCATAATTTGTCCTGAAGTATATTTGACAATGAATTTCACATTAACCAAAGTGCTTTTAACCCTGAAACTACTGCAGCATCACTGATTTGGTCCTAAAATTGTGGCATTGATTCCAAAAAGCAGCTGATCCACGAAAAAGGGAAAAAAAAGAAAAAAGGAACTTCCTGGCAGATAAGATCTTTAAAAAAGATGCCAAAAAGATGAAAAAGCAAGAAACAAAGCAAAGCATGATGTACCAAAATGCTACTTTCCAACTGAAAACAGATACATTTCTTTCCTCTCTTTAAAACGCTAGTAGTTCTTTAGACCATTTGGCAACTAAAGGGTAAGAAAAATGCCATAGCTTCACACAACCCTTTACTGAAATAAGAATGTGCTTTACTCTGGACATTTATTTTTCTTACTAGACTCTAAATGAAGAATCTCCCTTTACTAGAGGACCAGTTCTAGCAAGATGAACTTACACAATGGGGACCTTAAACTCCGTGTATAAAGGAAAATAAGAGAACCTTTTTTTGTGAGACAGAGTCTCTGTCGCACAGGCTGGAGTGCAGTTGTGTGGTCTCGGCTCACTGAAACTTCTGTCTCCTGGGTTCAAGTGATTCTCCTGTCTCACCCTCCCCAGTAGCTAGGATTACAGGGACGTGCCACCACACTCGGCTAATTTTTGTATTTTTAGTAGAGACAGGGTTTCCCCACGCTGGCCAGGCTGGCTGGTCTTGAACTCCTGACCTCGTGATCTGCCTGCCTCAGCCTCACAAAGTGTTGGGATTACAGGCGTGAGCCACCATGTCTGGCCCCAATAAGAGAACCTTATTGTGAGTTTCCATCTCAGTTCTGCTAAGTTGCTGAGACACTTCCTATCTAGTTCTATTGCTTTGTTCTTTTCATTCTGCCTTCCTACAACATTCATGTCTTTGTCCAGCTTATGATTAAAAACTGAAAGTAGAAAAATAATATGTTAAAAGACAAACCAGCAAAAATATAAGCAGCATATACGACAAAGGTAATAATAATGTTTAAAAAAAATAAAAAGGTTTTGGAGATCAACTAAGAAAAAGATGAATATCTCAATTTAAAAATTGGAAAAAATAAATGGGCAACCCCAAAATGAAGAAAGCAAGTTTTCCATAAACATAAGAAAAATAAAAATTAACTAGTACCAAAAATGCAAATCGAGACAATGAGTACTAATTTCATCAGTCAAACTGGCCCAGAAATAGTATGGAACACCCTTCCTAGATGACAATTTATTGTATTAATAATACAAATAAAAAGCACAAAAACATCTGCATTCATTCTTTGACTCAGTAATTCTTAAGGAAATGAAAAAATGTTTAGTTGAAGCAGTTGTTGAAAATAACAAAAAATGAAAACAATAACAATGTCTAAAAATGAGGGACTAGGCCAGGCGTGATGGCTCATGCCTGTAATCCCAGCCCTTTGGGAGGCCAAGCCGGGTGGACTGCTCAAGCTCAGTAGTTCGAGATCAGCCAGGGCAACATGGCTTAAGACGGTGCCTATACAAAAAAATAGAAAAATTAGCTGGGTGTGGTGTCGTGTGCCTGTAGTCTTAGCTACTTGGGAGGCTGAGGTGGGAGGATGACTTGAGCTTGGGAGGCAGAGGTTACAGTGAGCTGAGACCGTGCCACTATACTTCAGCCTAGGTGACAGAGCCAGACCCTGTCTCAAGCAAAAAAAAAAAAAAAAAAAAAAAAATTCGTTAAATAACATAAGGCATATAAAATGAAATCTAGTGTAAATATTAAAATTCTGTTGAAATACATATTGATATGTAAAGATCTTTTTAGTATATTAATAGGTAAAAAAGAAGACCACACTTAAATATGTGTTCATCTATATCTATATTAAAAAAGTCTTAAAGAAAGTGACATAGGCTATGTCTGGGTAACTATTCTTTGGGGAGGAGTTGAGTATATTCTGCCTTTGGAGGGGAATGAGTATTCGTGATCAAGAAAGTGGAATGTGGTTGTTGTATTGCTATATACAAACGTATTTTGTATGTGGAAAAAGAATATTTGTGATCAAGAGTATCAAAAATACTACTTTTCACAAATATCTACTGCATATCCTACTCCCAAGGTTTCCCAAGGAAAGCTTCCTACTCCATTGATGTTGACCACACCCATGTAACTTGCTTTGGCCAGTGGACTATGAACAAATAGGGCCCATGTCCCATTCCAGCAGCTTTAAATGCACTGTATAGGTTGGCTCAGCGTCCAGTTCTTCCCTTCCACCACAGGAAGGGCTTGTCACTGAGCAACTGTTATTTCAAAATGGATCTCCCAACGAGAAGACGCTTAGAGCAGAGCTCTGCCACAGCCGTTCTGTAGCCACCAAAAAGTAATTGAAAAGGGAAATGAATACCTGTTTCAACCCATTAAGATTTTAGGGTTCTTTGTTACTCAGAAAAGCTGTTTAGTAAATACACAATGCAATATTGTGCTGTAAATTGTCATTATGGAAGAATTTTTTCTCGTTTTGCTTATTTATATTTCCTAATTGTTCTATTATAACTATGTATTACACAAACACACATTGGTTAAAAAAAAGAAAACCTTAAAACAACAGGATAGGTCAACAAACTAAAAGGAATTGATTCTAACTTGACTGAGTCATTTCAATATCCAAAGAAATAATCATTGTTCACTATTTGTCAGCCAAAGAAGATTAGCAAAAAAGCCATATAGAAGAGCACTGGTGGTGCCCATCCATGCACAATCCAGGGGAGAAAAAGCCTTAGCTAATGGGCTTGGATATATTTTTCATCCAGCTGGCAATCACCTAGCAAGGAGATGGATATAGAAGCTGCATCTAATGAACTGTGAGGTTTGTGGACCTTTGGCAAACACATCCTCACTGGAAATGGCTACATCAAGCTGCCTAAGCTTCATGACATTAAACAGTCACCACCTCTAGCTTCCTTTGTCCTGATGCCACACCAGCTAAGCAACCTTCTGAGTATACCATATTATATGGTTTCTTAGTTACCTATTAGGAAAGAATGTCCTGGTTAAACCAGCTTAGACAGCATTTATTTAAATTAATAAACTGGCATTTAAATTTAATTTTTATAAGGGAATGAGGGAAGAAATAGGCAAAGATTCTTGACTACTAAGTCAAATTCTCATTTAGGAAATCAGGATTTTCCATACTGCATTCTATCCAATGCAATCTTGACTACTTCTCATTTGCAATTCCATGTTCCTATTACGCTTATTCCCATTCAGCTGCCACTCCACACATGTATACACATCATATACTCACTCTCTCGTTGTGCTGATTTTGCATATTCTTCTCTGCCTGTCCAAATCCTACCCATCCTTCAAAAACGCCTCAAAGCTCACCCTCTTCCCCTTTCCAGAAAACCTACCCGACAATTCACAACAGCAGCACTACCCCTTTATACTGCTCTGCTCCTGTGTCAAGTCTATGAGACTTTTCTAGATGAATATCAGCTCCTTGAAGTTTTCTATACACAGCCCACAGCAACAGGTAAGTAGCAGATTCTCAAGAAGTGTTCATGAAATTGATTTCTGACTAAATTAATCCAACAGCTTCAGGGCAGGGCTTATCCTACTTATCTTGGCAGATTGGAGGATTGGGATTTACAGTTGACAGCCCCACAACACACACACTTGCTACTACTGCCAGGCAGTTCTGAATACTTTTTAATCAATGATCTTATAAAAACAAAAAGTGCAAGACTATGAGATAGATATTATCATCACTCCCATGTTCCAGATGAGACAGCAAAGCTCATATGACTGATAACACTCTTGAGGTCAGAAGTGGTACGGCTGGGATTCAGGGCCCATGTTTGTTACCTCCTGCCAATTTTAGCTCATTATAATAAAATAAGGCTCATTAGAAACATAGTAAGCTAGGAAGAAATTCTTATACTTCTTCCCCGAAGAGTACAGTCTGAGATGGAAAAGTTTGGGATGGGAAGTAAGAGACGCAAAAAGGAAAGCCTGAATCAAACAGACAGATACTGATGTCTTCCACAGAAGACAGGTCACAATGACTGCAGTATGTGGCCAAGTAGGACATCAAAGTTTGGGGCTAGAGCTGAATTGCTCAGGGCAACAGAGGAAAGATTAGGCAATGCCACCTACATTTCCTTCTCTGCTCTTGTACCAGGTAATAAACCACCTTGCTTTTAAAGAAATGTTGGCCAATTATGTAAAGAATATTTATTCACAATCTCGGCAGAGGTACCCAGTCTGATCCTGGAGACAGGGGAGAAAGGGAAAACAGACAGAGGAATCCTGACTAATTTACAGTTTTAATGGGGCTCACTTTAAACCTCAGACTTACTCTTTCTTCCTTCTTTACACATATGGCAAAGAGGATATAAGGATAAAGACAACAGAAAAACCTTCCTTTTCTTTCTTAGGATTTAGGGATGAGAGTAACAGTAATTCCTCTACATTGTATGGAAGGGCCAAATAAGAGACTGTGGTAAAGCACCTAGCTCAATACAAGGGTGATTAACTGCTCTCTCTCCACTTTCCACCTATGTGAATACTGAATATAGCACCTCATGGCAGCTCTAGGCCTGGGATTGAAAAAAAAATTAGAAAATTTTTTTTTTCCACAGAAAAATTTCTAACTTTCAGTCTTAGCAGTACCTCTGAGTAGAGCCATCACTTATAAGTTACAGACCACACAGCTGTCTCTCCGTGTTTTTCCAAAAGTTTTTACTCTAACCTTCTGTAACAGACAACATTTTCGTCATGACCCAGTACATAAAAGATGCAAATATGCATAATACCCTCTATTTTCTACTGCATTTTAATAAAAGAAATGCTAGTCAAGAAAGAGGTCAAGATGGCCTACTAGAAGCAGCTCTCCTCTGTGGCTCCCACCCAGAGGAACAAAAACAGTGAGTGAATCCTGCACCTTCAGCTGAGGGATCCGGATTATCTCACTGGGACTAATGAGGTGGTTGGCGTGACCCATGGAGAGCAAGAAAAAGCAGGGTAGAACAATGGCCAACCTGAGAGCCACACGGGGTAAGAGGAACTCCCACCTCCAGTCAAGGGAGGTGGAGAGTGATCATACTACCCCACCAGGGAAACCACGCTTTTTCCAAGTATCTATGCAACCTGCGGATCAGGAGATCCCCTTGTGAACCCACGCTACCAGGGCCTTGGGTCCCATGCACAGAGCTGTGCAGACTCTCAGCAGCTGCTCGGGTTGTGGACAGCGGTAGCAGGCTGGAGACTAAGATGACCAAGTTCTTGGGGAAAGGGGTGGCTGCCATCACTGTGGCTCCAATTGGCCGTTTTCTCCTGCTGATGCCAGGGAGACTGGGCAGTTTAGACCAGGAGGAATTCCCCACAGTGAAGCACAGCGACTGTGGCAGATCATGGGCTGACTTCTTTAGGTGGGACCTGATCCATCCCTCCTCACTGGGCAGGGTCTCCCCACATGAATTCCAGCAACTCCAGCCAGGGATTTAGGATAAAACTCTTGATCCCTGGGATGGAGCCCCTGACGGGAGGGGCGGCCACTGTCTCTGGTTCAGCAGATTTAATCTCTCCCGCCTGCTGGCTCTGAGGAGTCTGGTCAGCTCAGAAAAGTGGGAATCCCCTCAGCCCACTGCACCTGTTCTGCCAAGGGGCAGCCAGGCTGCTTCTTCAAGAGGGTCCCTGATCCTGTGCCCCCTGACTAGGTGAAACCTCCCAACAGAAGTCATCAGACACCTCATACAGCAGAGTTCTGGCTAGCATCAGGTCAGTGTCCCTCTAGGACAGAGTTCCCAGAGAAACAAACAGGCAACCATCTTTGCTGTTCTGCAGACTCCCCTGGTGATACCTCCAGGTATGGGAGGTACCCAGGTGAATAGGGTGTGGAGTGGAACCCCAGAAACCACAGCAGCCCTATGGAAGAGGGACCTAACTATTAAAAGAAAAACAGAAAGCAACAACAACAATAACAAAAAAGACACCACAAAAACCCCAGCCAAAGGCCAGCAGCCTCAAAGATCCAAGGTAAATAAGCTCACAAAGATTAGAAAGAATCAAAGAAAAAACACTGAAAATTAAAAAGAAATAGGGTGCCTCTTCTCCTCCAAATGATTGCACCACCTCTCCAGCAAGGGCACAGAACTGGACTGAGCCTGAGACAGATGAAGTGATAGAAGTAAGCTTCACAAGGTGGTAATAACAAGCTTTGCTGAGCTAAAGGAGTGGGTTCTAACCCAATTCAAAGCGGCTAAAAACCATGATGAAACACTACAGGACCTGTTAACCAGAATAACCCGTTTAGAGAGGAACATAAATGACCTCATGGAGCTGAAACACACAACACGAGAACTTCACAACGCAACCATGAGTATCAATAGCCAAACAGACCATGTGGAGGAGAGAATCTCAGAGGTGAAGACTATGTTGCTGAAGTAAGACAGGCAGAAAAGATTAGAGGGAAAAAAAATGAGAAGGAATGAACAAAACCTTCGAAAACTATGAGATTATGTAAAAAGACAAAACCTACGACTGATTGGGGTACCTGAAAGAGACAGGGGGAACAGAACCAGGTTGGAAAACATACTCCAAGATGTCATCCAGGAGAACTTCCCCAACCTAGCAAGACAGGCAAATATTCACATTGAGGAAACCCAGAGAACCACAGTAAGATACTCCATGAGAAGAACAACTCTAAGATACCTAATCTTCAGCAAAGGTTGAAATAAAAGAAAAAATCTTAAAGGGAGCCAGGGAAAAAGGCCAGGTCACTTACAAAGGGAAGCCCATGAGACTAACAGTGGACCTCTCAGCAGAAACCTTACGAGCCAGAAGAGATTGGGGGCCAATATTCAATTTTTTTTTTTGAGATGGAGTCTCTCTCTGTCGCCAAGGCTGGAGTGCAGTGGCGTGATTTAGGCTCACTGCAACGTCCAACTCCCAGGTTCAAGTGATTCTTCTGCCTCAGCTTCCTGAGTAGCTGGGATTACAGGTGCCTGCCACCACACCTAGCTAATTTTTGTATTTTTAGTAGAGATTGGGTTTCACCATATTGGACCAGGCTGGTCTTGAACTCCTGGCCTCAGGTGATCTGCCCAACTCGGCCTCCCAAAGTTCTGGGATTACAGGCATGAGCCACTGCGCCTGGTCTCAACATTCTTAAAAAAAAGAATTTCCGACCTAGAATTTAATATCTGGCCAAACTAAGCTTTGTGAGTGAAGGGGAAATAAAATCTTTTTCAGACAAGCAAATGATGACAGAATTCATCACCACCAGACCTGCCTTGCAAGAACTCCTGTAAGAAGCACTGAATATGGAAAGGGAAAATGGTTACCAGCCACTACAAAAACATACTGAAGTACACAGACCAATAACACTATGAAGCAACTACATTAACAAGTCTGTAAAATAACCAGCCAGCATCATGATGACAGGATCAAATTCACACATAACAATATGAACCTTAAATGTAAATGGGCTAAATGCCTCAATTAAAAGACACAGAATGGAAAGCTGGAGAAAGAGTCAAAACCCATTGCTGTGCTGTCTTCAAGAGACCCATCTCACACGCAAAGACACAATAGGCTCAAAATAAATGGAGGGAGGAAAAGCACATGGAAAACAGAAAACAGCAGGGGTCACAATCATAGTTTTGACAAAACAGACTTTAAATGAACAAAGATAAAAAAATACAAAGAAGTGCCTCACATAACGGTAAAGGATGCAATTCAACACGAAGAGCTAACTATCCCAAATACATATGCACCTAATACAGGAGCATCCAGATTCATAAAGCAAGTTCTTAACAGACCTACAAAGAGACTTAGACTCCCACACAATGATAATGGGAGATGTTAACACCCCATTGACAATATCAGACAGATCGTCAAGAGAGAAAATTAACAAAGATACTCAGAACCTGAAATCAGCTCTGGATCAAGCAGACCTGACAGGTATCTACAGAACCTTCCACCCCGAAACAACAGAATACACATTCTTTTTATCACCACATGGTACTTACTCTAAAATTGATCACATAATTGGAAGTAAAACACTCCTCAGCAAATGCAAAATAACTGAAATCATAATAGTCTCTCGGACCACAGAGTGATCCAATCAGAAATCAAGATTAAGAAACCCATATAAAACCACACAACTACATGGAAATTGAACAACCTGCTTCTGAATGACTCCTGAGTAAATAATGAAATTAAGGCAGAAATTACGAAGTTCTCTGAAACTAATGAGAACAAAGACAATGTACCAGAATCTCTGGGACACAGCTAAAGCAATGTTAAGAGGGACATTTACAGTACTAAATGCCCACAGCAAAAAGCTACAAAGACCTCACATCAACAACCTAACATCACAACTAAAAGAACTAGAGAACCAAGAGCAAACAAACCTCAAAGCCCGCAGAAGACAAGATATGACTAAAATCAGCGCAGAACTGAAGGAGATAGGGACATGAAAAATCCTTCCAAAAAAAAAAAATCAATGAATCCCAGAGCTGGTTTTTTGAAAAAATTAATAGATGAACCACTAGCTAGAACAATAAAGAAGAAAAAATAATTGAATACACACAATAAAAATGATAAAGGGGTATCATCCCTGACCCCACAGAAATATAAACAACCATCAGAGAATACCATAAACACCTGTATGCAAATAAACTAGAAAATCTAGAAGAAATGGATATATTCCTAGACACATACACACATACACCTTCCCAAGACTGAATCAGGAAGTGGTTGAATCCCTGAACAGACCAATATTGAGTTCTGATATTGAGGCAGTAATAAATAGCCTCCCAACCAAACAAACAAAAAAGCCCAGGACCAGATGCATTACAGCTGAATTCTACCACAGGTACAAACAGGAGCTAGTACCATTTCATGCGAAACTATTCCAAAAAATTGAAAAGGAAGAACTCCTCCCTTACTCGCGTTATGAGGCCAGCATCATCCTGATATCAAAACCTGGCAGAGATATAACAAAAAAAAGAAAACTTCAAACCAACATACGTGGTGAACACCAGTGCAAAAATCCTCAATAAATGCTGGCAAACTGCATCCCGAAGCACATTGAAAAACTTATCCACCATGATGAAGTTGGCTTCATCCCTGGAATGCAAGGCGGGTTCAACATATGCAAATCAGTTAATGTAATTCATCACATACACAGAACTCCAGACAAAAACCACGGGATTATCTCGATAGATACCAAAAAGACCTTTGATAAAATTCAATATCCCTTCATGTTAAAAATTCTGAATAAACTAGGTATTGAAGGAACGTACCTCAAAACAATAAAAGCCATTCATGACAAACCCACAGCCAGTATCATACTGAATGGGCAAAAGCAGGAAGCACACCCCTTGAAAACCGGCACAAGACAAGGATGCCCTCTTTCACCACTCGTATTCAACACAGTATTAGACATTCTGGCCAAGGAAATCAGGCAAGAGAAAGAAATAAAGGGTATTCAAATAGGAAGAGAAGTCAAATTGTCTTTGTTTGCAGATGATATAAACCTATATCTAGAAAACACCATTATCTCAGCTGAAAAGCTTCTTTACCTGATAAGTCACTTCAGCAATGTCTCAGGATACAAAATCAATGTGCAAAAATGATAAGCATTCCTATACACCAACAACAGACAAGCAGAGAGCCAAATCATGAATGAACTCCCATTCACAATTGCTACAAAGAGAATAAAATACCTAGGAATATGGCAAACAAGGGAAGTGAACGACCTCTTCAAGGAGAACGACAAACCTCTGCCCAAGGAAATCAGATGATGCAAACAAATGAAAAAACGTTCTATGCTCATGGATAGTAAGGATCAGTATCATGAAAACGGCCATACTGCCCAAAATAATTTATACATTCAATGTTATTCCAATCAAACTACCATTGGCATTCTTCACAGAATTAGAAAACATCATTTTAAAATTCATATGGAACCGAAAAAGAGTCTGTACAGCCAAGACAATCCTAAGCAAAAAGAACAAACCTGGAGAAATCCCACTACCTGAATTCAAACTATACTACAAGTCTACAGTAACCAAAACAGTATGGTACTGGTACAAAAAACAGACACATAGACCAATGGAACAGAAAGAGAACTCAGAAATAAGACTACACATTTACAACCATCTGATCGTCAACAAACCTGACAAAAGCAGGCAATGGGGAAATGATTCCCTATTTAATAAATAGTGTTGTGAAAACTGGCTAGCCATATGCATAAAATTGAAACTGTACCCCTTCCTTATACCTTATACAAAAATTAACTCAAGATGGATTAAAGACTTAAATGTAAAACCCAAAACTGGAAAAACTAGAAGAAAATCTAGGCAATACCATTCAGGACATACGCATGGGCAAAGATTTTATGATGAAAATGTCAAAAGCAACTGCAACAAAAGTAAAAATTGACAAATGAAATCTAATTAAACTAAAGAGCTTCTTCACAGCAAAAGAAACTATCATCACAGCAAACATTCAACCCACAGAATGGGAAAAAATGTTTGAAACATCCGTTTGACAAAGGTCTGATATCCAGAGACTACAAGGAACTTAAATTTACAAGAAAAAAAAAAAAAACCAAACAACCCCATCAAAAAGCAGGCAAAGGACATGAACAGATACTTCTCAAAAGTCATACGTGCAGCCAAGAAACTTATGAAAAAAACCCTCAATATCGCTAGTCATTAGAGAAATGCAAATCAAAACCACAATGAGATACCATTTCACACCAGTCAGAATGGTGATTATTGCAAAGTCAAGAAACAACAGATGCTGGTGAGGCTTTGGAAAAACAGCAACGCTTTTACGCTGCTGGTAGGAATGTAAGTTGGTTCAACCATTGTAGAAGACAGTGTGGCAATTCCTCAAAGACCTAGAACCAGAAATACAATTTAATCTAGCAATCCCATTACTGGGTATATACCCAAAGGAATATAAATTATTCTGTTATAAAGACACATGCACGTGTATGTTCACTGGAGTGCTATTCACAATATCAAAGACATGGAATCAACCCAAATGTCCATCAGTGATAGACTGCATACAGAAAACGTGGCACATATACACCATAGAATACTATGCAGCCATAAAAAGGAATGAGATCATTTCTTTTGCAGGGACATGGATAGATCTGGAAGCCATCATCCTCAGCAAACTAATGCAGGAAAAGAAAACCAAACACTGCATGTTCTCACTCATAAGTGGGAGATGAACAAGGAGAACCCGTGGACACAGGGAGGGAAACAACACACACTGGGCCTTGTAGGGGGTGGGAAGACGGAGAACATCAGGAAAAATAGCTAATGCAGGCTGGGCTTAATACTTAGGTGATGGGTTGATAGGTGCAGCTAACCACCATGGCACACGTTTACCCATGTAACAAACCTGCACATCCTGCACATGTAAAATTAAAAGAAAAAAACATGCTAGTCACAAACCACTAAATTAACATAATGACCCATTAATAGGTTACAATCTACACTTTGAAAAGCATTGACCTAGATTAAGCAGATCTAAGAAACATATTATTAATGTATCCATGTATGTAATTCAACACTTTCAGGAAAGCCAATATTTTGCTATTCCTTGAATTATCCTCATTCAAATTATTAAAGAGTAAGTGCTCTACAAACTCTAACTTAATGACTTATAAACTGACAGAAATTTTAAAATGGAATGTTTTTCCTACAGACTAGAAGGCTTTAGATTTTGTCTCTGGAGCTAAATAAAACATAATTTTTAAAAAAGCAAAATCGCTTGGAAGTGTTTCCCAAACACAGGCATCAATGCTCTACCTCAGTTGTTATAATCTATGGCAGGCATAGCAACAGGGCTCTGCTGCTCTAGAACCCATGGCAAACACCACTTACTAATAATACTGCTCATTTCTTGAACCCCATTGCAATCTGCAATTTCTTCTTACTCCAACCCTCCAGGCAGCTACCAAAAAACTGTAGCAAATAAGTACATCCAACGCATATTTACTGAGTCCCTACTATGTGACAGGCATTGTTCTAGGTAGAGACAGACACAGCAGTAAAAATGCAAAGCATCTAACTTCATAGAACATAGATTTGAGTGAGGGAGCTGGCTAACAAAGGAATAAGCAAATACATTGGTTGCTTCAGGTTGCTCTGGGTGCTTTAACGAACAAAAGTAGGGTAAGAGGACAGAGCATAACGGCAGGAGTGGGTGAGTGCTATTTCAAAGAGGATGGCCATGGCCCAATTGTTGGTCAGGCCATGAGTGCAGAGAACAAAATCTAGTTAGCTAGCTTAAAACATGATTTATCAGGTATTAAACAGTTGATTGCTGGAAAGGTCAAAGAAAAACTTCAAGGCTGAATGTCTACGAAACACGCCCACATCCATACTTACCACTCATGGTCCACACTCACCTTACACACCTCATATGGTGTGTCTGACGGTGGCATCAAACCACAACCAGAACCTGAGCAGCAAGAGGAGAGGGAAATATAGTTTTTACCTTTCCGGGCTCTGCAGTGGAATAAATGGAAAAATGCCTCTATGAAAACACAACATTCTTGCAGGCCCCTGATTAATGAGGAGCCAATGAAAGGAAGTGTTCCAGGTGGGTGAAACAAAAGGCTGAGAGTGGGAATGAGCTTGGTGTATTCACACAGCAGCAAGATGGCCAGGGTGGCTGAAGCTTGGGCAGTGGGAGAGGAAATAATGAGAGATGAGGCAGGGAGGGTATTCAAGACCCAGTTCAAGTAAGTCTTGCAAGCTTTGATAAGGAGTCTAAATGTATTTTCCTAAGTGTAGAAGGATGTTATAGGATGAGGATTTTAAGCAGAGGAATAACATGTTCTGAATAACCTTTCTTAATAGACCATTGTAGTTCTATAAACTGTTCTCCATGCTTGATTTACATCAATAGCTTAAAAATGTACAATTTTAAAGTGACTTCATTTGATCTTCTATGGAGTAACTTTTTCAATTAAAAAAGGCCTAAAAGGTAATATTTCTCAATCTATAACTCCCTCACGGATACAGCACATGTGTGAGCATGATCATCTCTACCTTCTCTAAGACCAAGAGGAGTAGCCAAAGGTAGCAGGCCCAAGCCTGGACACCCACCTCTTGCCAGGCTCCAGGAAGATGTGGTTAATCAAGGGTAAGTTTTTTTCTAAAAAACAAAACTCAGACCTCTGGACTTAAAATCCTGAGATTCTTCCTAGTTAGAAACAAAAACGAAATTAGCTTCCAGCACTAAAATCAACCTATTTTAAACAGTCTTAAAGGTTTTTTTGTTCCCGTCTCCAATATGCAACCTAAAGCCAAAACATTTCAAACTCAAACAAGAGAATGAAATAAAAATAAAATTAACCAAATTACGTTTATTTTAATTTTTTTTTCAAAAAGTAACCATTTTATACTAACATCCATTTGCAACGGGCCACTTTCTTAAGGAGCAGAACCACTTAAAAGAAAAGGTCAATTTAAAAATTGTTCCAGAATGGGAGTGAGGAGTTCTTGCTATAAGTACATGCCTAGTTTAGCAACTATTATGCTTCTGCCAGGAGCATTTATTACTGTTATGAGGTCACCCATTATAAATGTGGTCTGAATGTTCTAATTTGCTTTTCTTTATACAATGTTAATGTTGCAAGCTTTTGAGCCAAAACATATTTTGCTCCAGTTAAAAAAAAACCAACCATGAAGCAAAATTGCAGAAAGGGAATCAATTTTAAACAAATTTGTTATATTATATATTTTATATGTTTGTATGTTAAATTTAATTTCTTTTACTTTCTCCAAAGCAGCCACAATACTGGCTTTGATGAAGGGTCACACTATAACCACTTGAGTCAACTCCTGACTTTTTGACTCAGTTAGAAAGATAAAAAAGCAAAACAAAATATTCCCTTTGCCTTCTCTCCATACAGCCTGCCTTGTAATTCTTTTCACACATAAATCTGAACTATTCATTTTCTTTGTATTTCATAAACTTTTGCCTGCTCTAGCTCCCTTACGAACATTAAATTCTCTGCGGTGAGACTTGGTAAATAGAACACAAAAAATGCTCCATAGGATTAGACTAAATGCTGAAGCTGGCTCAGTGGGACTGGTGATGGCCAGCTTCCAAGACGGCACCCAGCGGCCTGCCTCTGGGACTCATGTGCTTGTGTATTGCCTCCCACTTCTGTCCAAGGGTTTAACAGTCTTTCTTCAAGCACATTCGGCAGAAATGGAATTAGTTTCACCCTGCCCTAGTGAGCCCTTGAAGCTCTGACTGTATCTTACCTCCTGGAGCAGCTGCCACACCCCTACCCTGTCGCCATTTCCTAAAACAACACCCTCAACAAGGTTACCTTGTATGTAATAGTCTTCTACCCTCACAATCTTTTATTTTATTAATTCCTCTATTCATCTACATTCATCTAGAATCACAGCAATATTTACCTATTTTCCCATGTTATCCATTACATGCTCAAATTAACTTTACTTTTCCCCATAGGGAATTATAAAAGAAGATTTGTAGCTTTAGCATATTATTATGTGTGTGCTTTGGTTTGTTTGTTCTTGCAGTGAAGTAGGCAGAGACAGGGATTACAAAGAGGTTAGATCATTTAGCTTCATAGACAGATATACAGGACTAGAAGGGAATATTCAAACACAGTTATCTCAGCTTTGGGAATACTGATGCATTTTTAAAACTTTACAGATTTGCTAAAACAAATGTTTAATACATTTTATAATCAGAAGAATATTAACAAAAAGTATCACATGTATTCATGTATTAGCTGTGCTTTTGAACATAGCACTCTCCTAAGACCCGAAATGTCATATAATCTGAAGAAAACCGCTAAAAACCTTTAGGAGATGACATATGGTACAAGAAAAACAGGAAATGATGACAGAAGAGAGTAGGAGGTCAAGGAAATTTTATAATTTAGAGACATTAATAATGAGTTTGAAAGTCGTTTGGTGCAAAAAAACCCCACCTAAACTAAAATGGGAAAATCAGGTTTTACAAAAAGGAGGCAATGGGGAGAGCAGAGTTCAGCACAAAAGCCAAGACAACATTCAAAAAAAGACATCACAGACCTTCAGTCTCCACTTGACTGCTACAATTATCTGTGGAGCTGTCAACCAGCTGATGTAGAGATCTTGTGGGAATAAAGCATTAAAGAATGTAAGTGATAACAGAGTTATCCTAGATCAGGAGAATGAGGCTAAAAGGAAAAAGCTAAGACAGAGATCGAAAATTAGGTGGCTGTGACTTCGGATAGTCCCGCAGCCTGCTTCAGAAGCGCTCTGCTCTGTTTGGCCAATAAACGAGTGTCTAGAAGGCACCCTGGAAGATGGGTATGAGTGGACGCCACTGAGATTGTCAAAGTGAAAAGTTTCCTGGGTACAATACACAGAGTTCCTCTAAACAAGACTGCATTCTGACCTTGACTTTTTAACTGAAATTTTAAAAATCTGAAACTGAGTTTATGGCTTGTACAAACTACTAAATCCAGACTTTTGCTTTATTCCATGTTTTAGAGAACTCCAGAGAAAAAGAATTTTCTCAAGCCACATACACAACCCTGGCAGAAGCAAAAGACAGGTCAAGGACATTATCTTTATTATGTGCTACTAGTCATACTGCTTTAAAACAATATTCATATTTGTATAAAACTGTATCAAAACAGATACTATAGAATCTCACTTGAACAAGACTTTAAAAATCATTTACTCCAAATACTCATTTACTCGTTTAGCTGAGCCCCTTGTTCAACATCCTAATTGCACAACTATTCTTGAACATTTGCAGGTCAAGGAACCCACTATTTCCCGAGATAGTATGATCTATTCATGGACACCTCCAACTTTGAGAAAGCCTGACTTGTTTATTCTAGTTTATTTTATTTTTAATCTTCAAGTTACCTAAATCTATTCTTTAGAGCTGGTTTCATTTTAACCAGAAAGCTCTGTAGGAATATAGCATATATCTAGATAGCAAAACTCTGTATATTTTGCTTTGTCAAAGATTTTTTAGACAATAGTTCTTTTGTATATCAGGCTCTATAAACACGAAGGATTAAAGAATACCAACCAGGCCTCTTCTGTTCATAGCGATATATGCATCATATTTCTCATATCGAAACCCAAAAAGGTAAAGATACGTAAGTTTTCTTGCCCTTAATGCCCTAAAATGTAAAATAGAATTCCATGGGCAGTTATGACTGCCCCATTCTGACCCAACTCATTAGGGACTACTGCCATTTCCAATGTATGGGAAACTCATATATGTAGAGAAAATCTGCAGATATTCCCTTGCAAGCAGAGAAGTTGGAAAACAAAAACAAAAAAACAAAAAACCCTCAAAGCTCCTGCTTTGAATCCAAAAACATAACCATATTTTATTAAAATGGTCATTAAAGTACCAGGCACATTCCAATCATTCCTGGCAACATGAACCACCAGATGTTTACTGGATTACACATTTTACCACAATTGGATTCTCTGAGCCTCTTAAGGTGACTCTTTGGATTGACAACACATTTTAATAAAATATCTAGGAAAAGGGTATAATTTTATTAAGTCAAGGATGAGCAATCTAAGAAACCAGAGTTAAAAACAACAACAAAAGCAAACCTCTATCCATATCCTCAGACTACCTGGAATTATATGTGTTTACAGCAATTAACAATTGGCAAGAATTAGAAGATCTTGAGTGGGACATAAATACAAAATACATGCAAAATGACCAAAAAGTGAAATGAAAATTGATTCTTACAGAAGTACATACTGAATGTGCCAGTAAAATTAAAAGAAAAATCCAGTGTTTAGTACAAACCCATCCTCCCTGCCTGGCCACCCCCACAGTGCTCTGCAGATGGCATACAATACCAGTCACAGGAGCGCCGATGCATTTGCTCAGTGCGTTTTAAACACACACATAATTACAACAATCCAAGTCTTCAGGAAAATAAAATGAGGTTAAAGGGTCACATTCCAAAGCAGTGATTTATTATTTGTAGTGATGCCTTAAAGGTTTTATTTTTTCCTATTTGATATCACTCTCTCCCAAACCCCAGGATCTGAGGGCAAAAACAAGCCTCTATTTAAAAAAGACAAGATGAAGAAAAAAATTCATACTGAGGAGAAAGGTTCATCTGTCAATGTGAACAAGGAGTTTACATCACTAGCATTCTACTGGTTTTCTTGGGGAAAGAAGTCTCTGCAGAAAAGCCCACAATCCACATCCCACTCGGAGCAAAGGCCCTTCTCACCCGAAGAGCCCTAGTGATTCATGTCATCGCCATCTGTCCCACCGGACACCCCTGAAAACTCACTTCTGGCTAGCAAAACAAGGTGTGTGCAATTTCTGATACTGTTTTATCAATCACTGATTTCTCTTTAAGGATTATTTCATTAAAAAAAAAAAACCTGCCAATGTTCCAATACAGGCTCCAAAGGGGTGGGGAAGGCACCCAGGGGTGCTATGTAAGACTCATTTTGAGACATGCCTACAAATGTCTATCAGAATGAACTAACTGTATCCCAAGTAACTAGGACCAAGTGCTTGAGCCACCCAAGACCAGGAACTGCTGTATTTATCCTTTTGTTTTTCCTTGAAGTTCTATAGCATAGCTGGGACCATTAAAGCCTTAGAAGTTAAAAAGATTGACGTTTATTGAGACAATAATGCAATGTCTCATTTTATACATGAGGAAGGTGATATTGTATAAGGTTAGGTGACATGCTCAAGGCCATGAAGCTGTGTAACAACAAGACCAGAGATGGGCCTGGGTCTTTGGACTCCTGTTCCAGGAACCATACTGCATAAACCGATGATCATTCTGGAATATGTGTCCTATTAACACAGGGCAAGAGGGAGGCATTTGCTAGTGTAACTGTTTACTAAATCGTTCCCTAAAGACTGATCACACTTCTTTACCCAATAAAATCCAGCCAGTAAAGAATCATAGTAAGTATTTATTTAATGTGTTGATGTTCAAAATGTGTTGCATTAAAAGTGAGCTTTTTAAAAGGCCTACGAGACACCCAATGGCTGCACACATATTGTTCCCACTGAAGGGACAACCATTTTTAAGTAGGTCACACATAGTAATGCCACGTAATTTAAAGTGTGATGACTAACAACACATTTGAAAGCGGAAGCCAATTTATTGTTACAATTTCTAAACTGGTGCAGACATACAGACTATGATTGTTGAGCCTTGTTTTTAACAGTAAAAATTGAATTTCAACTCCCCTTTCTCCCAGCTGCGGTATTGAACTTAAAAGTCTACTAGATCGGTGGGTGGACGATCAAAGAACATTTAAAACATTTTAACTTTACTACCCACAAGGAGGTGGGAGTAATATGTCAGTGGGACTAAAATGTATGTGACAGAGTCTTAAGAGATTCCCTAACTAGACAAGAAGCTGGTTGTTCCCTTTTTTAAAGCAGCAGCACTCACCCTTACCTTTGCTCAGTCTACTTTTTAGAGCTGGCAAATAGAATAAAAGAGTTAAATCAGAATCTAAAAATATCCATGTTCTTATATGTTCTGTTTCCAGTGCAGTTGAAAACACTAATCACAGTTGATAATCTGAGATTTCTCTTATCTAGATGGCCTTGTAAAAGGTTTCCCTTCAAGTGAGTAATACGTAATCCACACTAAGAATAAACTTAATCTTTAAAAAATGGAAAACATTAATTCTTTCTCTCCATTTCCTCCCCCTTCATTTCCACCTGAAGGAAGTACAGATGTGAATAAATGTATCTAAATATAATCATTAGAGAAAGATGTCAATCTCATTTCCAAAAGACTGAAACCAAGTAGGAGGAGAAAGAAGAAGCAATAATGGATGAGGGAGAAAAGCATACTGACCTCTTCGGCCTGGGATGCCCTGAGGCTGCCTCTGACCAGCGCCCCCTTCCATCTGCCTAAATCTCATCTATCTATAGAGCCCATTCAAATTCTATCACTCCCAAGGAGCATTACTGGAGTACAATATGCCCTCCAAACTCTAATTTTCTGAACTATTTCAGCACCCGTTATGCGAACCCCACAATGAGCAACAATTATAGAATGCCGTATGTCCCTTGCTAGCTGTTTTACATGTTATCAGTTTTGTTTCCCTATTTAAACCATTAAGATGAAGAACATGCAACATAACTCATACTTTTAAAATGTTTTCCATAATACTGGCATGCAAATGGACAAACAGGTGCTTGAGAAAAACAAAGAAACAAACGAACAAACAAACCATGCTCCGTTGAATTGACACAGCAAAACTCATGCCTCTTAAGAGTGACCCACAGTATTTCCTCCGTGGGCAGTGCATGAACCCAGGAGCACATGAAGGACATGTGGCTGCAGATGACACGTGTGTTCTAGCTTGTTTGAAAAGCCCAGGTGTAACGATCAATATTACTGTTATTGTTACTCTCTGCATAGAAAGCTAAGTGCCATAAGTAATACTTAGGAATGAGCTGTCATGCAAACTCTGCAAATGCCTTTGTGCATATATGGATTTAATTTTTCTTTCATTTTTGCATTCATCATCCAGTGCACTTTCTCATTTTATAGAAAGTCATTAAAAAGATCTTCAGTAGCTATTTTAATATAATCTAAGTTAGTTCCTTAGGCGTTTCTCTACTGAAGATCAATTAAATGCTTAGCACAGAGCGACATCCTGAAAGAAATACAAAAAGACATATGACAGAGTTCCCTTTCTATTTTGAGGTGGGGGAAAAAAACCCTGTTCCTTCTGTATCTCCAGTACCATCTCTCCCGAGGCCTTCCATACACTAATGGTTCAAAGAATATGTCAGTGGCACTGCACTGTTTACAGATTAATGACACTGGTAAGTATAAACATAGCAAAGTACGGTAGCCTTTTTAAAATAAACTATCATATGAAAGCCAAGTACATAAAAATAAATACATTTTAAGAACACATTTTTAATTCTGACTTAAATTTCTAGAAGATTTGATTTTCCCTGACAGTGTCACTGAAAAATCATTTATTGATTTTAAATCTCTCATGTTTCCTGAGGCAGAAATTAATTTAATGTGATTGGCAACTTCCGTTTCCATACACAATGGAATACCTAAGGAAGCTTCCAGTAGTCACAGCAGTGAAACACTATCACAGCCATATGAACTCAAGTAAAGATCTGTAAACTTACATGTCTACAGTTATACAGAAAATTATTCTTTTGAGGGTTAATGATAATAGACATAAGAAGAATGAAAATACTAAAAAGAAGATGAAAATATGAGCCTAGGGTTTGGATTCTTTATAAGCAGGTAGGGGTGGAAGAATCATGTGGATTAGAGATCTCAGCATCAGGACGAGTAGAGGGGTAATGCCTGTCACCAAGGCTATTACAGCGGTCTATAAATGGAAGAAGAAAAATGAGGCAAAATCATATTGGGCAAAACAAATAGCAGTAATATTAAAGCCAGAAATCTCCTTAGAGTTCTTACTGTTGGGCCAGGTGTGGTGGCTCATGCTTGTAATCCCAGCATTTTGGTAGGTCAGGGCAGGAGCATCTCTTGTGGCCAGGAGTTCAAAGCCAGCCTGGGCAACATAGCGAGACCCCCATCTCAACAGAAAATAAAACATGAGCTGTGTGGTGGTGTGAACCTGTAATCCCAGCTACTTGAGAAGAAGCTGAGGCAGGAGGATCACTTGAGCCCAGAGTCTGAGGCTGCAGTGAGCTATGATCACTCCATTGTACTCCAGCCTGGGTGACAGAGTGAGACCCTGTCTCTAAAAAAAATAAATAAAAATAAAAATAAAAATAAAATAATTCTTTCTGCTGGTGGGGACCTGGCGGGGGAAGTGTAGAGAGTTAATGTGGGCACGTAATTCCTCATTTGAGAAAGATACATGGGCTTAACAAATGATTCAAGAACAAATAAGCTTATTAATAAATGGAAAAATAAATGAAGGCATGAATAAAAGCAGCAAGGAAATAACATATAACTAACTAACAGTCTGCGTCCCTGGATATAAGGAGAAATATGTGGTCAAAGAACAATCGTAACAACTAGATGGGAACAATGGGAGATGTGGAATGGGCAGGTGGGCTTAGGCAAAATTAGTGGCTCAGAAAAGAAAGAAAAAGAAAAGTCATGTAAAAGGATTTTAAAAGACAAAGTGAACAGAATTCTACCATGTTGGGAATCATTGAGCAAATCTAATTTCCTTGTTCTTTTCTACCAAATAAACTTCCATTAAAGTTTTCAGTGCAGCAAACAGGTTCTACGTATTGGCTCCCCATCATATTTCCTATGTAACCCATGCCTGGAGTAAGCCTCTACTCCAATCCACCCAAATTCTATCCATCCTTTAGGTCTAACGCGACGCAAGCCCCCCAAGAACTCTTTTATTTTTTAGGAAACTTAGAAAATAGTAATCTTTCTCTTTTCCTGCAGTCAGCTTTTGGAAGAGGGGCTACAAACAGACAAGGGACAGAAATATCAAAAGGAGAAAATATAAGTAGGATCAGATCTTCAAAGAACTGAATATTATAGATTTCCTTGGTTGGGGTCAGAAGAAAGATGAAAAACAAAGTATTCCAATCCCACTTTGTCCTAAAGGGGAGAAATCCATTATACTTCCTTCAAGCGGGCTAGCTTTTGATTTCTGGAACCACTGGGGACAATGGGCTTGGCATTCTTTTCTATCACCCTCCCACCTCATGTTCCACTTTCCCCTCTTTTGAGAGACGGGGACATCTAAAATGGAGTCAGTACATGTCCCAAAGTAAAGGACAGCCAGGGACAGGAAGAAGAAGACCCACTGAAAGGAACTTTTATTTTTCCTTTTTGTTTTATTATTATTTTTAATGAATTCCTCCAGCACTAAACCTGTAAGATGAACAGATATCATCTCCTAGGTTATTGGCCAAGAACACACTGCCTCAATACCAAATAAGATATAATGCAGAGACTCTAGGCAACTCCCGAAGAAACAAGTTATAAAAGAGAGGGGAAGCAAAATTAGTGGCACCAATGGCAATGACGCAAAGAAAAAGAAAAAGGAAAGAAATGCCAAGCTGTAGCCAGGCAATGCAATGTAAAACCATTGCTTCATGTCCCGCCCACTTCCACACCCACTGAGAGTGCTGTTCTTGGGGACTAGAAAACAGCTTGAGGTAACAACAGAAGAATCAATGCCAAGCCATACTTATCTCTCAGCCAAGACACTAACCTCACAGTTCATGGACGTTATTGAAAGACAGAAGACAAACACAAGAGGAGAAGATGAATGTGGTTCTCTCCTGCCTTGTCCACCACTTCCCTAAACCCAGAAAGGCACTCCTGTGCCAAATCTGTTTAAAAATCATATGAATCACTGGCCTCTGTTTCTTTTATGCATTTATTGTAGACCAGCCTACACTGACATCGATGAGCTAGTGAGATATTGCCAAGTAATAAGCAGCCAGAGACATTAAGTTACTGAACTTTAATGAAATAACAGCTTAGAATTTAAAGACAAAGAAATGTCTTTTATCGTCTTCCACATACAGAAAAGGAACATAGCTGCTTAAAAGATCCACTGTAATTCCCCAATATTCTCTTGTATCCTTATTTTAATATCAACTGCTGTATAGCTGATTATAATCATTACGTTATTATATCAAACCCTAAATATAGAGGTTTAAATAAACTACAGGATTATCTGCTACCTAGAACTAGGCCCAAATCTCCATCCATTCCCATGACTTTAATTCATGCTCATGGCGAAAGATTTCCAAACAATTCTATCTTCTCATCTCAGAGTCTATTAGAACATGAACTCGATGTCTGTTCTGTTGCATCTTTATAACCCCTAGAACATGCTTAATAGGTATCAACTGAATGAACCTAGGTCTAATGAAATCTCAGATTCAGCTTATGCAAAATACCTTCATTCCAACTAAACCAAAACTACTATCTTAATGTTCCAACCACGCTTCGGGGCTCTAACTTTAGATAGTCTTAACTCATCCCTGTCCTTTATTTCCACTATCCAGACAGTCCACCATCTAGGAAATTTTCTTTAGAAAATAAATTGCTAGGCTGGGTGCGGTGGCTCATGCCTGTAATCCCAGCACTTGCACTTTGGGAGGCAGAGGCAGGAGGATCACCTGAAGTCAGGAGTTCTAGACCAGCCTGGTCAACATGACAAAACCCCATCTCTACTAAAAATATAAAAATCGTCCAGGCAGGCCAGGCGCAGTGGCTCACGCCTGTAATCCCAGAACTTTGGGAGGCCGAAGTGGGTGAACCATGAGGACAGGTATTCAAGACCAGCTTGGCCAACATGGTGAAGCCCCATCTCTACTAAAAATACAAAAAACTACCTGGGCATGGTGGTGGGCACCTGTAATCCCAGCTACTCTAGAAGCTGAGGCAGGAGAATCGATTGAACCTGGGAGGCGGAGGTTGCAGTGAGCCGAGATCGCACTACTGCACTCCAGCCCAGGAAACCGCAAGACTGTGTCTCAAAAAAAAAAAAAAAAAAAAAAAAATGAGCCAGGCATGGTGGTGGACACCTGTAATCGCAGCTACTTGGGAAGCTGAGGCAGGGAGAACTCCTTGAGCCTGGGAGGTGGAGGCTGCAGTAAGCCACGATTGTGCCACTGCACTGCAGCCTGGGTAACAGAGCAAGATTCCATCTCAATCGATCAATCAATCAATAGCTAAATTAAAAAAAAATCCAAACACACACACACACACACACACACACACACACGCACGCACACACACACCCCTCTTATTCATCTTTACCTCTCTGCCACAACCCTCCCCTACTACACTATTCCAGGCTGGCTATCATTACCCATATTTTGGCAGTCCTGTCTAAGCTGGACTTTTTACTTTCAGTGTCTGCATACCAGTTACAGACGAAAAGTCTCTTTTGCTCAGAAGTTATTTATACTTCCCTATTACCCACCTACTCTCCCAAGTAAAATTATGCTCTTAAGGAAAACCATTCAAAGTCCAAGTTTGTAACATATCCCACCCATCGAGTTGGCCTCCTCATTGCCCTACTAGTCTACTAAGCTACTTTCTAGACTTATATTTAACCCATTTTTATCCATTTAGTCTATTAGAACACATATTCCATGAGGGCAGGGATTTTTCACTGTTATATCTTCACCACCTAGATCAATGCCTGAAGACTGGACCCTTAAATATTTGCTGAATGAATGAATGATTTTATGAAAAACAGAAAAAAAAAAGCGGAGAAAGGGAAGTAGAAGAGAGAGTGTTAAACTTCACAAAGGAGTTTATCATTATAGGTTCAGGTCAAGTCCCACTTTCACTCATCACTTCAGCCTTCACTGATTTCTCTCTTCTCTGATTTTCCATGGAATTTCTGCACCGTACAATTGAGCACTGAAATACTCATTGCAAGAATTCAATGAAAAGTTGAGAACCTCCTATCCACCAAACTCTGCACAGCACAGACATGGTTTATGCCTTCTCCAAACTTATAGTCTCATAGAAACATTCAACAAAGTCAATTAAAAACCAGCTACCACAGGTGCACATAGAAAGAACACTTAGACTTTGATGACAGGGAAGGCTTCTCAGAGGAAGGGACAGCTAACGGAAGACTTGAAGGGTGAGTATGAGTTACCCAGACAAAAAGGAGGGAGGAGTGTTTCAGGCAGAGGAAACAGCATGGATGGAGACTTAGAGGCAAGACAGAGTGTTTAGGAAAAGTGTTTGGGAATTGAAGGAAGTTCAGTGGTTCTGGAGTACATGGGCAGCAAAGAGCCAAAGCTGCTGGGGTGGGCAAGGACCAGACTTTCAAGGGCCAAGCAGTCACCTTGAGTTACGCTGCGTGAGCTAAAAATGTGAGTTATGTGAAGTCATGCATAAGTTAATTAGCTCGATTTAGCCATTCCAAAATGTATACAGATTTCAAAACATGTTGTACATGACAAATATAACCTTTATATGTCAATTTTGAAAAATATAAAACTTTTGAAAAAAAAGCTATGAAAATGAATATGAAAGGGAAGCTGGGAAGGGGAAGGGGACAGAGAGGGTGGACGCCTCACATGTCAGTTCTGCTTCTCAGTTATTCTGGAAGATTTCTTTTAAGAAAAGCAGAGATCTGGTTTCAGGCTTTCTCTGTATCTCAAAATGTCTGTTCAAAAAATGTGGAATTCACAAGAAAACCTGTTGATTTGAAAACTTTGATTCTTCCTGCACCTTTCCCACCCAAAGAAAAAGAACAGCTGTAAAATTTAACAACTAACAGAGACTAATAAGCAATTTTTAACGCTAGAGACTTCATCAACTATAAGAACCTTATGTCCCTTTCAATTTTCTTCCCCTTTGAGACTCTGAACTAGTCAGTAGAGATTTCTGAACCACACGTCCCCCACAATCCACAAACCTATAAATTTTCATAATTATGCATTCTGTAAAAGCTTAAGCAATGAGCTAAGGAAACAGCTCTAAGTGGTTCTGATTTCAATTTCTCTGTTGCATCAGATTAACTGACTCCTTTAACCCACAGCAGTGTCTAACATTAGTCCATACTCAATACCAAGTTCAAGTCAAATGTGGGACCTTGTGTAAGGTTCTTACCCAAAATTATTTCAAGATGAAGAGGGCTGTATCTAGACTTATGCAGTTCTCCTAAGAACATGCCACCACATTAAATAAAAGTAGCATGCAACAACCATAAAACGAATAAACAAAAGTCAAAGCTCCTAAGACAAAAAAGGGTACAGTGCAGGTTCCTATGTAAGGTATAGATTTTAACTGGATAATTTTTAGTAATTGTATATCAAGAAAAGATACCCAACATCTGTCTCATGTATTACCTTCAAAAACTCTTCTTTCTCTAAATAGCTTGCACTCTCTCTGGGCCATGAATGAAATGAGGCCACTGTGAGAAATTACAAATGCCATTCTGGAGGAAAATCCTTCACATCCCTATCTTGAGCCTACTACACAGGAGAAGGAAATAAATCCTCATGCTAAACCTTCCACTGAGGAAATTACTAATTCAATTTCTCTTACCAACGTTGCTACAATGCACTAAACATTTCTACCCAGTAAAAACTCTTATTTATCACATTCATTTATTTCCATTTTAATTAGAATAGCAAAGCCTACATTCCATAAAGACTGGAAAAGGAAGAAAGCATCATAAAGCAAAAAAAGCTTCCTCATTTTTGAAACAGGAATATCATACGGGATACTAGCTACTGACTTTCAAAAATAAGAAATATGCTCAAGTATTGCCTCTTTCTAATGACAAGTAATATGCTGTGTTTTTCCCAAGGCACCACTTCTTTTGAGATATTTTGACTATGAAATGTTTCCGTGGGACAGCTCTAAAAAATCTGCATTTATTCCACAATCACACAACAATAAAATGAGGACCTGACCTTCTAGGTATGAAGGTACCACAGCACAATCATCAACACTGCTACCAAATCTCATCTGCTAATATGTAAAATGTCTCCTTCTCCAGCTGACAAGCGGTAAGTATTCTCCAATATAAACAAACATATACACCCCACGTTATAACTAAAACATTATCTAGCTTTGACTTGTCATTGTGGAGGAAATACAAAAACCCTTTATATATAAATATTAATGAGATGACCATGCCTTATAGTTGAACTAGCAATCTGATCTTTAACGAAGTTGACCCTTAGTACCTCTGAGGAAAGATAAAGAAAAGATACACTATATCCATTGTTACATTCACTGGCCTTTCATCCATCCACTCAAAAAGTATTTATTGATCACTTTCTATGTGCCAGATACTGTACGCTATACACTGTTTACACATATTTTTGGCTTCTATCCCTTAAAATACCAGTAGCAGCTAATTGCCTCAGCTGTAACAACCAAATAGATCTCCAAACATTGCCAGATGTCCTTTGGGAAGCCTTGTCTTAGAGTTTAAGATTCTGTGGGCACTGTTTTTCAGAAATTTAAGATATAACTGAAAGACAAGATGTGTGTACTTAAAATATATGAAAACACTGAACAAATAAATAGCCGATAATAACATTTTAGAGTTGGCAAGATGGCTACCAAAAAAAAAATCACATGTACCTAGCTAAGGTCGAAAGTAATGTTTATTTTTAAATAAAACTTTAAAAAGATAATTTCTTTCTAAAAGTCATTCCAATCTGTCCTCTCTAGAAAATTCACCCCTTTACCTCCCCCACAAAATAAACACTCTTCACCAGCCTGGCCAACATGGTAAAACCCTGTCTCTAATAAAAATACAAAAATTAGCTGGACGTGGGGGCGGGCAGCTGAAATCCCAGCTACTCGGGAGCCTGAGGCAGGAGAATCGCTTGAACCCGGGAAGCGGAGGTTGCAGTGAGCAGAGATTGCACCACTGCACTCTTGCCTGGGTGACAAGAGTGAAACTCTGTCTCAAAAACAAAAAACAAAAAACCTTCTTCATCACATAGCAAAACATTTATTCTGACTATGGACTAATGCACTCATGGAGTCAGTGTTAAAAAATAAAGACCAGAAGGATGGAAACAGCAAACAAATCATGAAAGTGACATTGGAAGATTCTGCCAATTAAGAAAGGCAACTTAGATTCTCTATACCCTTCCTCTTTTATCTATTTGATACTTAAAATTTACTGCCCTGTATCAAACATGATCTCAGTAATTCTTTTTTAATCAACTGTTTAGGACAGCTTGAGGAAAGGAATTGCTAGGCAGAAAGACAACAGGAGAAACAATAAATCTTTTAAGTACAAAAAACTGACAACGAAATGAGAAAAATACTACCTTGTGTGCTCAAAGGAAATTGCTTATAGAAACTGAAACCAGGACTCAGAACAGTCATGTGTTCTACTCAGGAAATTAAAAGTTGTACTTTTAAAAAGGGTTTCAGATCCTTCCAGAAAATCTAAAATAAAACTAGGTAACTACCTTCCAGGTTTTCCTGGGAACACTTGCCATTTGAACAGAAAATACACATTGCAAACTCTCCTTGGAGTGTCTGGGTCTTTGCTTTTAAATAAAAATGTTTACCCTAGATCCTTCTGCTTTGTTTTCTGCCCATCAGTGAGTAGGATGCACAGCTATTTGAGGAGTCTGAGAGGTCACTATGGTTTAATGGGTAGCAGGAAATATTCTTTAGGGAAAATAAGTCATCTTTTTTCCACTGTTTTTCTTTTGAGAGAGACAAGTAATTTTCTGTCTCTCATATACAACTAGAAGAAAATGGTATCACTGTGCCCCTCAGAGAAATGTCCCCCTAGGAGCATTTCAGGAGAGTCACCTGCTTCAAGTGAGGACAAATATAAAGCTGGTAAAAAAACAACCCTCCTCCCCCCCGAAAAAAAAACCCACTAACTACAAAGCAAGAAATAGCGACTGAAGAATGCCTAACGAACTCGTACTAAAACAAAATACTGATTGTAGATGGACATACGGAGTCATAGAACTATCTGGACACACCGTAAACAGATATGAGAAAAGAAGGAAGATTAGGAAGCTACAAATCCTGTCTCAGTAATCTATTGCTCTGTAACAAGCTACCCCAAAAGCGAGGGGCTTTAAATCATCATCAGTTCATTTGCTAGAGATTCTGCACAAGTGCAGTCTGGGGCAGAACTCAGTGAGAACAGGATGTCTCAACCCCATGTGCTAATGGCCGAGCTGACCTGGGGCTGGAGGATCCAAGATGCCCCAGTCCAATGTATGAGCATGGTGCCAGCTGCAAGCTGGAGCACCTTGATGCTCCTACACATGGCTTCTCCCTCCAGCAGGATATCTTGAGCTTCCTTCCTTACATGGTGGCTCCGAAACTGCCAGGCCTCTTAAGGCCTGCCGTTACAACAGCACCACTTCTGCCACATTCTGTCACACAAACCAGCCCAGGCTTCGGCGGGAGGGGAAATAGACTCTACACTCCTGATGAATGGAACAACATGTTCGTGCAGGGATGGGAGAACTCCAAGTGATCATTTCTTCCTTTTTTTTTTATTTTTTTTTCACAGATATTCTACCACAAGCCCCACTATTGTGAACCACGATAATATAAAATGAAATTAGGAAAAAGATAAGATGACCGGGACGAAGTACCTTGCCTACACACGCCCCCTCCCTATCACCACCATCTTCTGCCCTTGACTCTTCAACCAACGAAGGAGAGAAAAGAAAGAAGAGAATGAAACGTGCAATGCAGACTATAGCATCACGGACAGCAGCGTTGGTTACAACATCTTATTAGGGTCCTTTAAAAATACAGAAAGAGAACAAATGAAGGAGAACCTAGAACCACCACTTACTGCTTTTTCTTATGACTTTTGGCTCAATGTATGTTTTACACAAAAAGAAATGCTACAAGGATTTGGTACCAGGTAAACAATATATAAATTGTTAGGGAAAAAAGGAAAATCTCTTTTTTTAAAAAATGAGAGGTTCTACTTTTTAGGGTCATAATTGTATAAGTTCAATGTTTCTAGCATATCTTTCTAGAAGAAAGACTAGAACAGCCACAGGTGAAAAAGGAAACTGATAAATGGAGGGGGTAATATAGTAGATCCTGTGACGACATCCTTTATCCTGCACTAAAACTGCAATGCTGCAGAATGCCATCCCCCTCTTGAAATCCTGACTCTTTGAGAATAGCAAATGGTGGTATTACTCATGCATGACCTTTGCCAAAAAGTGGCTGGCAGATGGGTTTGCCCAGCAAAGTGGAGATGTGATGAGATTATTCTGAGTCCCTATGCAAGTAGCCCAGTTGAGCCTGGACAAGAATTTCACTGGATCAGAGGCTTTTTACTTTCACAGAACGTAGACAAATGTGCCATGTCACAATGGCTTCCACTCACGTCCTGGTTTATCATCATTCCTCCCTCCACTCCTCAACAGAAACCAAAAAAAAGGCAATTATCTTTCTTCCAGCTACAGATGTTAATCCTCAACTAACATCCCATACCGGCAGTGTCTGCAATGTAGTAGAAAGGCTTTGAAGCCTGCAAATCATTTAGGACCAAAAGGAGGAAATCCAAGTCCAATTATGGGAAAATGAAAAAAAGAAAAAGAGCAGAAAAGCCCTTCAAATCAGACCACACAGAAGGCCAAAACCACAGATGAAAGGAACTGAGAAGCTATGGGTTTTTTTTGCTGCCTTTTAAATACAGACCCCTAGGCAAAGGCAGCACTTATTTAACATATCCACAGGTATTAAAGTCTATAACATATAAGGTGCTAGAAAAATAATTTCAGTGATTGTTACTTATGGGTCTAGATAATTCTTAATATTGACAAACATTGGTATCCATGTAAAAGACAAAAGTAGAAAATATCACTAAACTTGGAGGTAGAAACCAGACTTGAATTCTGCCTCTATGTATAGCCTTTGGAAAATTACTTTTTGTTTCAAAGCCCAAGTTTCTTCATCTATAAAAATATGGATTAAAAATACCTTCATTCAAAGAGTTGTACTATAACTTTTCAATGAAATTCATGTATATGTCTGAAAAACAGTATCTAATAAATATAAACTGTGTATGATTCTGATCTTTAATACAGATTAAGACTCCCAAGTAAAAGTCCTTTTTCTTTTTTTAAATCATGGAAAAGACACAAATTTTGTTGTCACAAGATGATGGTTCAATGGTTCTAGGTCAGATTTTGTTCCTCCTGGCAAGATGATCTTGGGTAAGTCTTTTCTCTTTCCAAGTCCTAGGTTCTCCATTTCATTTATTTGCTTGTAAACCTGAATTCATTTGGAGGCACTAACAGTAAACACGGCAAATAAAGTCCCCGCCCTTATGGAACTTAGCAAGTCATGAGGAGACCTAAAAGCAATGAATGTACAGTGTTGGCTACTGTTTTCTAAACGATGAGGTGACTGGGTTAGAATATCTTCAAGACCCTCTCCAGCTTTAAGCCTGTGAACCCGTAACTGTAAATATAAAAGTCAACAAAAAGAAGGAAGACCACAGTTTCTCATTCTGATGTTTTGTAAGGTGTTAAATCATTTTTTCTCAAGCCAAAATCAAAAGCTTCCAGAGAACAGCAATACCATTACAAAGGCTTTCTGAATTAAAAACGAACAGTCCTCATCTCAGTTGAAAACTTAAAATTCTACTGTTAAAGGGAAAATCAAGTCCTCACATCAAAGACTGTGCCCTTTATCCCCTTGAAAGCAATAATTCAGAGTAATATTGGCACATACGCCGAGGACCACTCATGCCTTAGCATACAGAATCAGAAACTGTTTACTAAAACTAGGGTCTGTTGATTAATCCTACATTCAGTAAGAGTTTGAGAAGGGAATAATCACCAAAAATCCCTAAGTTCTCTCCTCTGATCATCAGTGGGGCTGTAGTTCAACTCCAGGAAAACACTTTATAGAGATAAGAGGAGACTACTTACCGCCAGGGCAGAAGAGCATGTTGAGATACGGAAATAATGGTGCCCAAAAACAAGAGATGAAAAAAATTGGGAAAGCTTCACCTAAGAAGAGATAACTATGTTGAATCATAGAAGTAATCTTCAATTATCAGAATGGTCATTGAGATACTCACAATCAGAGTAATACACTGAATGGCGAATGGACGATAAACGTACCCAAGTGGACACACTACTCCCTAGGATAAGATTCCCAGGGGATAGGAATGCTTTCTTTGCTGCCTTTACACTTTATATTCTTTATTCGCCCTACAAACATATTTAAGGCTGTAGTAGTTAAATGGAGGGTAGGTTCTACAAGCACAGTTTTTCTCTGACAGATTTCTATCTCCTGGTAGCATGGTTTTTACTGGCAACCTCAAGTGGGTAAGCCTTACATAAAAAGCTTCAGTTTTCAGAATGAATCAGACAAGGACTAAGAAATAATGATCATAAGCAGTTAGAATCAGTACAAATTTATGAGGCTGATGAAACTATGGGAAAACAAAGGATTATTGGATACCAACAACAGTTCTTCAAATAATTTTTCAGTGACACAGCACCAGAAATTTTCTGTTTAAGTCAACTAAGAAACACGCACCTGAATAGTAAAATTAAGTTTTAGGAAACTTATTTGGCAAATTGAACAAAGATTGTCAAGCAGAATTCATTAAAAATACAAAGAATAAATAAAAACAATTGATTTTTATGGATCTAACTATAAATCTAACTAGATATATCTAACTACAAAAAACAATCTAACTATAAATTGTTTTTATGGAAAGTAGCTTCTGACAAATTTCAACTTTCTTAAAACAACGTAGAATTCCAACAAACTTGAGCACATCTCCTATGCTACAGTTTACCTATTTAAGTATAAGCATAAACCTTATATATCTCACGTAATTTCTATAACCTCCAACTTCCATACTTACAAACTCTGGAATAAGATGCCCTATATTATCCAATCAACACTCTAGCTCTGCCACTTACTGTGAAATTGAAGGCAAGACACTTAACTACTCTGCTCCTTAGTCTGTTTCTTCTTTATATCTAAAAAGTAAAATAATGGTACCTACCCTCAAGGGTTACTGAAAGAATCAAATGTGTTAATATATTTAAACACTAGAATAATGCCTGGCACACCATGAAAATTTTTAAATGCTGGGAATTTTATCATCAACTGTGTTTATTAGTATACATATTTATAGACGAGTATGTGTTAGTAAACACCATTTACTAAACTGTTTACTAAAACTAGAGTCTATTTATTAATCCTACATTCAGTAAGAGTTTGAGAAGGGAATAATCACCCAAAATCCCCAAGTTCCCTCCTTTGATCATCAATGGGGCTGTAGTTCAACTCCAGGGAAATATTTTATAGAGATAAGGGCAGATTACCCCAGAGCAGAATAGCATGTTGAGATACGGAAATAATGGTGCACAAAAACAAGAGATGAAAAAAATTGGAAAGGTTTCACCTAAGAAGAGGTAACTTTGCTGAATCATAGAAGTAATCTTCAAATATCAGAATCGTCATCAATTAAATCAGTAATTAGACTTATTATTTGTTTTTCCAAAGGTAAATTTGGCTGATGATCAGAAAAATCTTTTAAATCAAAGCTTTCTGATGGCAATGAGCATTCTTTCCAAATGAATGCTAACATTAAAAACAAAATGCTGCTTTTCAAATATAGAGAGATGATTATGCTGAGTGTGAGCCTGGACTAGATGACATAAAAAAATCTCAGAATTGTAGAATATTAAAATGTGAAAAGGACTTCAAAGTCATCTGCTTTTGTGGTTTAGTTGTCCATTGGAATCACCTGGGGAGCATCTGAAAAAATACTGTTCTCTTTCCAGATCAATTAAAATCAGAACTTTCTGGGGATAGAGGCTGTGCACTATTTTGCTGGTTTGTTTTCTTTAGTCTTTGTAATTGTCCCAGGTAGTTCTAACATATAGCCACAGCTGAGAAACACTGCATTAGTTCACAAATGAGAAAAATAGGGCCCACAGTTAGAAAATAATGGAACTTTAATTTGAACCCAGGTACTATGCTGTGCTATTTGTTTATTTGTGTGTGTGTGTGCGTGTGACGGGGTCTTACTCTGTAGCCCAGGATGGAATGCAGTGCATGCTCATGGCTCATGCAGCCTTGGCTTCCTGGGCTCAAGCGATCCTCCCACCTCAGCCTCCCGAGAGGTGGGACTTACTTTTTTAAATATATTTTTGTAGAGATGGAGTGTTGCCATGTTGTCCAGGCTGGTTTCAAACTCTTGACCTCAAGCAATCTGCTCGCTTGGCCTCCCAGAGTGCTGGGATTACAGGTGTGAGTCACTACGCTTGGCCTCTATGCTATTTTCAATAAATTACTCAAAAGGTCTATGGCTTTATAATATGCATAAGGCTATAAATAAGTCTTGCAAATATCAGTTTCGGAGGGGAAAGTATATACCTTATTTTTTTTCCCCAGGGTACAGACTGTTCTCTGGTCTATTATCACTTTCTAACTTTAAAGACATTATTTCACTGAACTTCAGTAGAAAATATACACAAAACTAGTCTTGCATCATGGGGTTTACTTCTAACTTTGATTTTGACCTACTTGAGCCTGATTTCCTATTGTTTTTGCAAGTATGCCCTTGCACAGATCCTTATCACACAGGCAGGAGGCAGAGGCTCCCTCTACTCAATTTGTGATCAAGAGAAACTGCTTATAAATTATTTTCTGCTTGCAGATGACACCAACTAGAAGCTATCTTTGCTAGATTTTAAAAGTCTTAATCAGTGTGAAATTGGGAGAAGGGCAAAGGAATGGAAATCAGGAAATCCGAATGGCTAACATGGGGTCACAGGGAAAGAAGAGCAAGCCCAGAACTGAATGTTAATTCCACAGCTCAGCCTCTACATCACAAACTGTTACCAGGACTTTCTGGTGACCAATTTTGCATATCATTTCAAATTAGAGGCCTCCTGGCAGGTGGGAAAACCATGGCAGTGAGAAGGACAAGTAGCTGTCCTTCTCTCTGTTCTGTCTTTACCCACACTAATTAGGGCCTTAAACAACTCACTATCTCTCTGAAACTCCTTTTCTCATTTATAAAATGGGAAGGTTCATCAAGATCATCTCAAGGGTGACTTCGAATTACAATGTTCTATGATGAGATAACATCTGCATTGTCAAGGAGGACAGGGCTGGCCTATGATGTTTATACTGTGAATAGTTGCTTTTCCTGTGGACAGAATCTACCACATGCTAAATAGAATCCACACAGCAGCCATATTATAAAAGGGATCTACCATACACATCACATGTTAAATTTTTAATACAGTAATCATTATCAGAAATGTGAATTCCATCACAGGTTAAACCTTAACACAAGTAGGCTGAAAATCAAACTGGCATCTTACTCTCAGCAATAAAGACTCGTACTAGCCACCTGATAACTCCATGACAGAGATATAAACAGCATACACATTCAAGGGCAGACTATAGCTTGAACTGACTGATCACTTTCCAGAAATGCTATTCTTGGATTGCTAAGAAGTAAGCTATACCACACCCGCTCCGAAAAAAAAAAACAAAAACAAAAAAAACACCAAGAAATCCCTTCACCTCAAAGAATATTCTAGAAAAAAATTCTAGTCATTTTTTTTGTTCTGAAATGTACCTTTTAATATATTTTAAAGACAAAAAAATACCACAAGGATTTCTTTTCCTTTTAAGAAGAACCTTCGGCTCTTAGGTATCACAGATTGTTCAGAACAACTTGGACTAAAGGCGGATTTCGCCTAGTGATTTAATTAATAAACATGTTTGTGGTTCAAAAATCATTTTGGAAGGCACATATGGAAAACTAGGAAAACTTCAGATGGATGAATATTTAGTAATAAATATATTTAAGGAAGAATATTAACCAACCAAAAATTAATTTAAATTGAAAATGCTTCCCAGTTATAATCAGTAACAAGGAAGCAGATGATTCCCCCACAAAAATATAGAACTGTAGGCAATAAACAGATCTTTGTGGAAGAAAAAGAGTAAGCTATTTAAGGGAAAAAATAGGTGTTCCCATACTTAATTATTAGTTATAAACTCGCTGTTGAAATACCAAGAGTATTTAAAGAAACAAGAGGCCGGGCAAACCTGGAAAACAACACATGTAAATACAGTGCCTTTGTCTGGACTCTATAGAGAACCAGAAAGTGTTCTAAAACATCTGTTTTATTATAGGGTTGAAAATAAAGAAGAAGGTAATATGTACTTTGAAATCTATTTTCTAATTTCCATTTTTCATGTGTCTAATAGCTAAAGATAACACATTCATTTTATAAATACAGTACCACTATTAGCTAGCATGGTCACAGGGCTCTAATTTATCCTATTTATAGTAGCAAAAAAATAAACCACATTTTTTAATTATAAATCAACAACTTATCATTGTATATATTTGAGGATACAAAGTAATATTATGATTTGAAAATTCAGTGTGAAATAATCAAATCAAACAAATTAACATGCCCATTACCTCAAATACTTTTTTGCAGTGAGAACATTTGAAATTGACCTGGCTTTCTGGCTAAGATCAACTATAGTATCTGTCTTCATCAGTCTAATTCTAATATTTGTAAAGAATATTAGAAATCAGATGAAAGTAACATTATCAGCTATCTTTAGAACATAAGTTATTTCTAAAAGAAATGTCAAGAACTCACAAATAATATAATATCAAATCTGGGATAACAGACTGCGTAGTAACTTTCTTGTGCATGGACAAGCTCACAGGGACAAAACTGCAAGATGTTCCTATCAACCAGAGTGGAGGCCAGCCAGCCTCCACGAGCAGGAGCTGCTGTCCATGGAGCTGCTCTGGACCCACTCCACATTCCCCTAGCACGGCGTTGCTTTCCTGTCTTCTGTTCCCAGGTCTGATCTCCGACTGGCCCGCAAAACTGGACGCTGACACGGGTTCCACAGTGACAGCTCCTGCTGTGTTAACTCAGCCTGGATCGCCCCCACACTGCTTTATGAGCACTAAATTTTGGCAACCTACTCTCTCTCTCCTCGGAATCTGACCTCAACTGCACCCTTTCTGTTCCACTTCACTTCTCCTCAATTCTGACAGCTTGCAGTGACCTTCCCTAGCTACAAAGAGAAAACTGTGTTGGGTTTCATTTGCAAAATTCTCAAGTAGAATCCATCACACCTTCAGTCCTGTTCTCTAAGGGCCCTTTTAGCAGTCACATTATTGCCCTCTTATTATTGGCAGAGAGAGTCTGAGTGACCTTGGATGAATCTCAACTGCTTTTTGAGCTTAACCTTGACAGCCCCTCGGTTTCATTACCTAATGATTTAGGAATATCAGACTATCTAGAAAATCTTTTAAGATTACTTCCATTTCTAATAACCTGCTCATATTCCTTATCTCAGTGAAATGACCCTACCAGGTACTTAAATCCCAAAAGTCACATGGAAATCCTCTCTCTCACTCATCCTCATATTCAAATGAACAAATGATTCCCTCTGTCCCACGACTTTGTCTCCTAGTCCTCCTAATGTCCCTTAAACCTCAGCTCTGTGAGGCTGACTTCACTTCCCCTACCTTCCAGCTGCTTCCGGGTTCAGCACTTCCACTAGACTTTCCCAGTGACTTCCGGCTTTTCTCTGAGTGTGGATTAACCTGGGTGCCTCCCTGAGGTCAGAGGGCTTATCTGACCCTCAAGAAATAAGTCCTGGTGCAAAGCCAAAAATGAATGAAGGAATGAAAGGGAGAAAGGAAATATCTAAAGATTTTCAGATCCTAACATAAAAAGGGATTAAAATATTGTTTTCTGTTGTCTGTTTTTTAAATCTTAGAAAACACAACACTGAGTAAGAGGGAGATGAGAGTAAGTGGTGGGGAGAAAGGAAGGAAGGACACTTACAGGTACGAGTTACGGTCCAGAGAACGAGCGAAGCATGTGACACATGTAATCTCATTTCCTCCTGTAACAACTGTTCACAAGATGCGATGTCATCTCCATTTTATGGTTAGAGAAAGTGGACTCTGAAAGCCTCCTTAATTTGCCCAATGTCACAATGCCAGTAAGTGTCAGGGTCAGAACTTTAACCAAGATGATGTGACTCCAAGAGTCCATTGATCTTTCCCTAGAGTTTGTTACCATGATGATCTCAACTTTACAACAGTGGTCCATGGGAGTAGCTTATATCATATTAAAATCTTAGAATTTCAGTGTGCAGGAAGAAGAGTTTAAAAACAATCCTAGAATTTAAGAAACCAAAGTATTTGGGAAATAGGAGGGAAAACTCCACCAACACTGCAGCTGTGCTATTCATCTATAGACTCTACTCTTGTACTGGCACTAGCTACATATGTCGGCACCTTTGAAATGCAGTATTTTAAAATCCAATCCTGTGCTAAGATTATCCGTCCTATCAGCGGCATGCTGCATTTTGGGATGCCCTCTCCCACCTACTTTAAGCTCTCCAGAGACTGTGATACAACAATATGGGCTTCAACACACTGCATCTAATTTTATTGTAAAAAAAAAAAAAAAAAAAAAAAAGGCTATGCCATATGGTTACCAACAAATGAAATAGTGACTGTTGCAAACAGAATAAAAAAGCAGGTGGAGCCCTGACAAAAAAAAGTACAACTGAAATGAGATCTAAAAGATTTAAAAATAGCTGGTCAACCAGTAATGTATACTTAAACGAAAGTGTTTAAGAAACCAGGATGAAAAATGTATAAAAACATTACCAGGAGTAATATGAGGAAAATAATGCTTTCGACATTTTCATTTTATCCTTGGAAAGCTTTGGTGATTCAAATTTAAAAGGACTATAATAGGGAAGATATAAAAAGGAATCACAAGTCCAAGAGAACAGAAGAAAGTTTCACCTTTTGTTCTAATTTCTTAGAATCATCTTCCTATTTCCTTGCAATATACCTCTTTAAGAAACCTGGTATACTTTGCTTTATATATGATTTACCAAAAAAGAAAAAAGAGAAAGAAACAAACCAACCAACCAAGCAACCAACCTAGTATCACCAAAACCACAAAGACAGACGGGCCTTAAATTTGCTACGTAACCTGTATACACTTAAATTAGAATGGTCAGGCTGAGTTCTCTAGTAAACACTATAAAGAACTTCAGAATGACACAGGCATCAAACCAAGCAAGGAAGAAAAAATCTTTATAATCGTGAAACAAACTGATGTTATATCCAAAATATAAATATAAGCATATTCTTTGAAAACATGTAGTTATTTCCATATATATTTTACCTACAGTGTATATAATCATAGATAGCTTTTGTGAAGGTATTAGTGAATTCCGGATCCCCCTGTAACTCAGTTGGCCCATCACCACCTAAAGATTAAAAAGCAATTGATATCTATCCTATTTTTAACTTCAGTCCTGGAGATTACATCACCATTTTGGTGCCCAACTCCAGGTTTTAATCACTCTAATAAAAATGTCAGGAATTATTTATTACTGGCAAAATGCTACAGTTTAGAAGCCATTTGGTTTATTTTTCATAAAGACAAAGAGCTAGTCATACCCATCCTTACCTAGGTTATCCATAACCTTTCACAACCTAGGATTATACACTAGAGTAATTAGTTAATCTTCCAAGTTAAGACCCACATTTCAGAGAACTGTAGACATCAACTAGTTTTAAGTGGCTGAGAGCACAGTCAGGTCTCTTACAATTTCCAATGTGAGGGACAAGTCATATGACCTTGGACACTATGCGATGCCTTTAGCTTTAGAAATAGTTTTCATGGCTGGTTTTACTTAATAAATATTGATAGCAGGCTTCTCTTAAAAGTTGCTATGCATACTTCTTCAACTGTATTGCAGGAACAAAGGGCAAACCTCCCCTTTGCCCTTTGAAGGTTCACTGAAAATCAACTGGCCAAAGGTAGAATAACAGCGAAAAAAGCATACAATTTATTAATATGTACAAGGGACAATCACAGAGTGATTCCCCAAATATTCCAATGGGGCCAACATACTCCTACAGCTTCTTTTCATAGAGGAGCGGGGAGATAGCGAATGCAGGGAACTCTGTCAAAGGGCAATAAATGATTACCAAGGAGAATGAACGGATGGGAAAACAGAGATGAACTTGTAAATGGTCCTCTTTAGAAAATGTTCGAGCATGCTTACATTCTTTAGTATTCTTTGTTACAATAGATAATGAGATAACAAGGAGGTGAAGGACAAACAGTCGTTCTCCTTGGTGGGTCCAGTCTTTACTTGGATGGGGGAAAAGTCTCTTCCCACATTTACTGATCTCTAAGAACCTTTCATTCAAAATACCTATTATACCAGGGAGCCATATTTTGGAGTGAAGTTCCCTGGATACCTTCAGTATACTTTATGCAAAATAAATTTTAAAATATTTAACTTAGAAAGTGGAAGTTCCTATTTGGGAGGCCGAGGGGGAAGATTACTTGAGGCCAGGAATTTGAGACCAATCTGGGCAACACAGAAAGACCCTGTCTCTATTAAAAAAAAAAAAAAAAGAAAGAAAATTAGCTAGGCTTGGTGGCACATGCCTGCAGTCCCAGCTACTTTGAGGGGGGAGGTTAAGGTGGGAGGATCCCTTGAGCCCAGGAATTTGTGGTTGCAGTGAGATATGGTTGCATCGCTATATTGCACTCCAGCCTGGGTGAAAGTGCAAACTCTGTCTCTCACCACCACCACCACCACCACCACCACCACCACCACCACCCAGAAGTTCCCTAATATGCTGCTCCCCTGACATCACCACTATTAACACATTCATCTTCTAGATTCTCACATATGAATTTTAACATAAATGGTATCATTCCATACTTAATTTTGTATTGATGTTCCCCACCATCAATTCCTTGAAAATAATAATTAGGTAATCATATTTTATGAAGTATTTTTTATGTGCCAAGTATCATCCTGTAGGCTTTACATGGATTTTCACATTTAAACCTCATTCCTGGTTCATAAGTAGGTATATTTACTTTTCCCAAGTTCCAGATGAGGAAGCTGATAGAGGAATAATTTCCCCAAGGTCACAGAATTGGTGCTAAGTATCAGAGAATCCAGGCAGCATGAATAAAGAAGCTATACTCTTAACCCCTTCTCTTCACTTTGCCATCCATACCACTACTCATAACTCTACGTGGTCTTTTTAACAACTGTATTAATTACATGAATAAAGTATAACTGATGTAATCCTTCACTGATCGAGATTTGTATTATTCTCAATTTTTTGCTATTGTATACAATGCTGCTTTTAATGTCCTTGTACACATACCTTTGTACGTTTAACTACCCAGCATCTTTCTTTTTTCTTCTGAAATAATTTTAGACTTACAAAAAGGTTGTACAAATGGTACAGAGTTCCTGTAAATCCTCCACCCAGTCTTCCCTTAATGTTAACATCTTACGTAACCATCAGTGCAATTATCAAAACCAGAACGTTAATGTTGGTATAGTATTAACTGAACTATACACCTTATTCAAATTTCACCAGTTTCCCCATTACTGCCCTTGTCCTATTCCATGATCCTCTCTAGAACCCACAAGGCCTTCAGTTACTATGGCTTCTTAGTCTCCTCCATTTGGTGACAGTTCTTCAGTATTCCCTTGTCTTTTATGACCTCGACACTTCAAAAGAAGATGGGCCAGTTATTATATAGAATATCTTGCAATTTGGGTTTGGCTGCTGTTTTCTCATGTTTACAATGAAGTTAGGCATTTTGGGAAAGAGAAGTGATGTTAAGTGATGTTATCTTCTCCTTTAGAGCATCAGAGGCTTCATGATGTTGAGATGCCTTGCCACTGGTGATGTTAATCTTGATCACTTGGTTAAGGTGGTATCTTTCACTGTCTACATTGTAAAGTTAGTATTTTCCCCTCATAATGAATAAATATCCTGGGAGAGATACTTTGAGACTACACAAATATCCTGTTTCTTCCCTAACTTTCATCTACTAAATTTAGTATCCTTCAATGGCTCTATCAACAACAATAATTACTGCGATATTTGCCATTTCCTCCTTTCCTTTCACAATTGTTAAAATTTTTCTGTAATAAAAACCTGTCCCTTCTCCACAATTTTTAAAATGTATTCAACGGATATTCATTTTCTTCTCTGAGTATAATCTAATACTATCACTTTGTTGCTCAAATTGTTCCAGCTTTGGCCATTAGGAGCTCCTCCAGGTTGGCTAGGTTGGCCTTCTGGCACACCACCCTCTTCTTTTGAGCACTTACTTTCTGGCACCACAAGATGTTCTAGGCTCATTTTATATTTTCCCTGCCCCAGGACTACAACCAACCAATTCTCCACAGAGCATTAATTCATTTTACTGGTGAACAGTATTTAGAAACCAAGGTCTGGAAGCTACGCTGCTCATTGATATTGAGATATCAGTGCTTCTAGATCCGCTCGGCAGGCAGAGCTAAGAAATATATGCAGGCGTATATTTACATGCATATATACATACCCATCATGCAAACTCACCTACGTTTCTGCATCAATCCATACATTAAAAATTACAAGTTCATATGAATAACGTCAACTGGAATCCAATACCACAGGGTTCCTTATTCATAATTTCTTTCTCCCATAGAGAGAAAACTGCCTCTTATCATCTATAGTATGTTTGTTTATTTGCATATCCTAGTATACAGATAAAGTAATGATAGAGGCAGACAAATGCCTAGACAGACAGACAGAGGCAGGTCCCCTGCAAAATCCTACCTTCAGGCCAAAGATAGTTTAAAGCCTGAAAGCTGAGCTACAAGTTAAATCTTTGGACCAAACTGAGAGTGTCTTCCTGTCTGGCATACTTTCCTCTGATGGGTCCCCACCCTTCACGTATTTTACATATACCCTTTCCTAATTGGTTTCCTACCCTTTCCTAATTGGTTTTTCTACACTGTCCTGCCCACCTTTGAGTGGTGTTTTTGCTTTAATCTTTTTTGCATACTTACAAACCAATCAGCATGCACTCCCCATTCTGAGTCCATAAAGGGCCCCAGACCCAGCCACACAGAGGAACCCCCTCCCTCCCCTGCTGACCCTTGCTGAAAGCCGTTTTCATAACTCGAAAACATTCTTCTCCATCCTCCTCACCCTTCCATGCCCCACGTGTCCTCATTCTTCTTCAGTGCAGTCTAAGAGTTCGGAAACACCAAACAAAGGTACAAGCTCTAACACAGGTAAGCTGGGGCACACCAGCGTGGCCAAGGGAGGTCCAGGGGGGGTGTTGCTGGTCAGGGGTCCCCACCTTGCGAAGTGACCAAGAAGAAAAATTCTGCATCAGTAATAGTTTCAGAATTAATAGCTCATACCCCTGTAAAAGACAAATTTACTAACTGGAGTACAGTGTTTGTGTACTGTTCTTTTTGTCTTCAACCACACGGCATACAGTTAAAAAACTGTTTTTCAAAATTATTTATGTTCGTTCTTTCCTTTTCCATTCCCTTTAGTGTAAATTACAAAATACTTAATTTGTAATACAATTAGGTTCATTTGTTACTGTTTATACTTTCCACTTTGAGTTTTCATGGACTGGTTGGTCTTAATTATTAATTTGTATCCTAAGAGGGTAAATGCCAGGGTTGTGATTTAATGTAGCAAATGAATAGAAGGGCACATTCAGTGAGGACTGAAAGAAATGCCCTTAGGCATGGATATTTTCTCAGCATGTTTGTGCTTGCATCCATGTGCCTGCTTGCTCTCTCTCTCTACCTGTGTATGCATAGCCTCAGTTTTTAAATGGCGGTGTCACCTTTGTTCATATGAGATAATGTGAAGCTTAGAACCCTATAGATTTTAAGATTGAAAAGGGCTTCTCAAACGTAAATAATGCCCCCACATCTTCAATTCTTAATACTAACGATTTAAAAATGTACCACAAATTGGAGCTTGGCCTTTTCATAAAAATGTATGTGGGTACCTGCAGGTGTACAGACACAGTTTACTTGAAGTTAACGACACTGGAAGGATCCTTATAATAAGCTTTTAATTAGATATTACAAACAAGGAAAATATAGGAACATGAGAGCTGGAAGAAATTACCTAAGAGAGTTTCTAAAGGTTTGGTTTCATTTTTAAAAAATCAATTTTCCCTACAGGAAAGAAACCAGAAGTGGACATGACTGACATAATAGATGGGCAAAGTAATGTATTCTCAAAGTCAGATGCATTGTGGAAACAGGAAGAGAAAACTACAGGTGAAAGCAACAGCAATCTTTCTGAATTATCAGAAAACATACCTTAGCATATTAAAGTGGGAAAATGAATGGAAAAAGAGGAAACCAGAAACAGTTCCCAGTGTCTCTGAATCTGAAAGCACAAAGCTTTAATCAGAACACCAGCAGAGATTATGGCTGGATAGTGACAAGAATGAGACTGCCACATGGTAAGGAAGGTAGTGCTTCCTTTCCAGCTGCTAAATAGTGCCAATTAACTACTATATGAATTACATGTGTACCAATGTCTGCTCAGTATGCAGAGAGCAACTCCAAGAAAAGGCTATTTTTCTTATCAAAGTGAGTAAAAAAAAAAGAAAAAAAAAGACACAGAAGAAGACGAGTTTCCTTTTGCAGGCCTCTAATCATCAGGACCAGCACTTCAGGTTTCGGTGGAAGGTGGGAAGAGAAGGAAGGAAAACAAACTCTGGCAAGAGAGAGGGAGAAAGGTTTGGAAAGACTACGGAAGTCTTCGTATGTACTAGAAGCTTTAAGGGCAAAATATGAGTCACCAAAGGCAAGTGAAATTGCTGATCTCTCATAAAACACCCCTTGGCTTTCTGCCACCATAACTTCCCCTTTTAATCCTATTTCTCATATGCAGCATGTGAAAAAAGGACCAGCTGGCTGCACTGGTTTTGTTATTTTAGCCCTTATGTATACACACTTTAAAAGGCTGAAGAAAAGCAACTGTGGGCAGTTACATCCTTTGTATTTTTCAAAGGTTGGCAGAAAGTATTCTGTGACTCCTTTGTATAGATGCATGCTTTCAAAATAAAAAGGTATATACAACTCTTTTTAAAGCTTATAAATAAATTAGGTGAAAAGGAAGGGAAGTGGTAGAGAGTAACGCTAATAAAGATTTTTCCAGGCTGGGCGCGATGGCTCACACCTGTAATCCCAGCACTTTGAGAGGCCAAGGCGGGCGGATCACGAGGCCAGGAGATCGAGACTATCCTGGCTAACACGGTGAAACCCCATCTCTACTAAAAATACAAAAAATTAGCCGGGCTTGGTGGCAGGCGCCTGTAGTCCCAGCTACTCAGGAGGCTGAGGCAGGAGAATGGCGTGAACCTGGGATGCAGAGCTTGCAGTGAGCTGAGATCGCGCCACTGCACTCCAGCCTGGGCGACAGAGCGAGACTCCGTCTCCAAAAAAAAAAAAAAAAAAAAGATTTTTCCTTTATGTGGAATTGTTATAGAAAATCAGTTATAATACGGCAGTAATGTTTAGAGACACCAAGGACCTGCCAACATGACCTCATCATCTCTCCACACAAGCTGGGACTGTGCTGAAGTTATCATCCACCTAAAGTAGGGTACAAAGCCCACTCAGAATGGTCACAGAGGTAAGCCCTGTGGGGCAATACAAAAGGAGAGTGGGAGACTTTTCCCAAAGGCCACATTCTCTGGTTTGTATCAGTAGATATGGAGCTTTTAAAAGTTTAGAAATAAGAAAATCAGATTTCACATTTTCATGTGTAACGCTACTCAGTTCTTTCTAACAGCCAAAGAGAAGGTGGTACAACAATCACACCACACAACTGTCTTAGTCCTTTTAAAATAATGATTCTGCATGCTACGTGTTGATTATCTTCTTGACGTTCCTCTTATTTCTACTTTGATCTAGAAAAATCTGATGTTAGGAGCCTGAATAACTCTGTAAATAGTAACTAACACATGGAGTACATTCAAGGGATATGGCTGCTCTTAGTGGACCACACGTTATCATCCTTCCTGTCTCCACACTGGCATCTAAGCTGTTACCCCACAACCAGAGTCCCTTCTACTCCAGCTCTATAGCACCCATCGGAACTACGTTTCAATAGACGACAAGGTGCTACCATCTCAAAGGGGCTTTTCCAGATGCTGCCCAGTTGAAAGTCATTTCTCTTTATTCTGAAATCCCACAGTATTTTATACGTAATTCCGCATTTATGCAGGATTTTAAAGATGCTGGCCCCCTAAGAGTCTCATCCCTTGATGATTTAATCAAATGTTCATCTAGCCACTGCTAAGAAGGCACACGGCAGATGGAACTAAGGTTACTCATCAACTAACCTTAATAGAGGGAGATTATTCTGGATTATCTGGGTGGGCCCAGTGTAATCACACAAGACCTTCAAAGAGGAAGGGAGAACAGGCACTCAGAAGATGCACCAGAAAAGGAAACCAGACAAAGACGAGGCAAAAAGAAGAGGATGAGGAGGTCAGACAGTACCAGAGAGTGAGAAGAACTTGGGCCATCTCTGCTAGCTTTCAAAATGGAGGTAGCGGACCACACGCAAAGGACTAAAGGTGACCGCTAGAAGCTGAGGAGGACCCCTGGGCAACAACCAACAAGAAAAGGGGGACCGCAGTCCTATGACCACACAGAACTTAATCCTTCCAACAAGCTTAATGAACTTGAAGCAGATTCACCTTCAGAGCCTCCAGAAATAGACACAGTCCTGCCTAAATCTTGATTTGGAAATGGAAAAACCAGAAGTAGAAAAACCAGCCAAGCAAACCCAAACCTCTAACCCACAGAACGATGAGATAATGATCAATCTGTGTTGTTTCAAGCCACTAAGTTTGTGGTGATTTGTTAACGACAGCAATATAAAACTAACACATTCTCCTTCATATTATATCCTATTTAATAGTTCAAGTCTCAGTGGGCATTAGAACTGTGTCCGGAATTGGTGGGTTCTTGGTCTCACTGACTTCAAGAATGAAGCCGCGGACCCTCGCGGTGAGTGCTACAGCTCTTAAGGTGGCGCGTCTGGAGTTTGTTCCTTCTGATGTTCAGATGTGTTCGGCGTTTCTTCCTTCTGGTGGGTTCGTGGTCTCGCTGGCTCAGGAGTGAAGCTGCAGACCTTTGCGATGAGTGTTACAGCTCTTAAGGTAGCGCGTCTGGAGTTGTTCGTTCCTCCCGGTGGGCTCGTGGTCTTGCTGGGCTCAGGAGTGAAGCTGCAGATCTTCGCGGTGAGTGTTACAACTCATAAAAGCAGCGTGGACCCAAAGAGTGAGCAGTAGCAAGATTTATTGCAAAGAGCGAAAGAACAAACCTTCCACAGTGTGGAAGGGGACCCGAGTGGGTTGCCACTGCTGGCTCCGGCAGCCTGCTTTTATTCTCTTATCTGGCCCCACCCACATCCTGCTGATTGGTAGAGCCGAGTGGCCTGTTTTGACAGGGCGCTGAGTGGTGCGTTTACAATCCCGGAGCTAGATACAAAGGTTCTCCACGTCCCCATCAGATTAGTTAGATACAGAGTATGGACACACAGGTTCTCCAAGGCCCCACCAGAGCAGCTAGACACAGAGTGTCGATTGGTGCACTCACAAACCCTGAGCTAGACACAGGGTGCTGATTGGTGTATTTACAAACCTTGAGCTAGATACAGAGTGCCGACTGGTGTATTTACAATCCCTGAGTTAGACATAAAGACTCTCCACCTCCCCACCAGACTCAGGAGACCAGCTGGCTTCACCCAGTGGATCCCGCACCGGGGCTGCAGGTGGAGCTGCCTGCCAGTCCTGCGCGATGCGCTCACACTCCTCAGCCCTTGGGCAGTTGATGGACCTGGGCGCCGTGCAGCAGGGGGCGGTGCTCTTCGGGGAGGCTCCGGCCGCACAGGAACCCACGGAGGCGGGGAAGGCTCAGGCATGGCGGGCTGCAGGTCCCGAGCCCTGCCCTGTGGGAAGGCAGCTAAGGCCCGGCGAGAAATCGAGCACAGCGCTGGTGGGCCGGCACTGCTGGGGGACCCAGTACACCCTCCGCAGCCGCTGGCCCGGGTGCTAAGCCCCTCACTGAAACGATCCTTACAAGATCACCCTGTGAAGTTGTTCCAGTTTCTTTTTTGCCACATAATATTTTGCTCAAAAGACATCACCAGAGGAAGTTAGAACATGACAGAAAAAGAGAACAACTTCTGGAGCAGAAGGGGAGCGGTGACAGGGAGGGGTGAACACTGGACACAGGCTCCAGAAGCCTAAACCGAAAACCTGAAAACCATAGGCACAGGCCAAATATCTTATTTTACAAATGAGGAAACTCAGGCACAAAGTGAAATGATCACCCGGAGGCGCCACCACTAGTCACTAGCAACACTAAGGCAGGCTTAGAGCCCAGCGACTTCCATAACCCAGTCAGAACAACTAGTGCATTCCACACGGGCACACTGCTAGCCACTTAACACACCTCATCATATTTAATTCTCCTAACCGCTCTTAGAGGAAGGTGTTTTTATCCCATGCCGTACCTGAGAAAACTGAAAAGGATTAAGTTGCTTGGCCAAGGTAAGATATTGGGATTACTTTCCAGATCTGTAACTACTCATTTTACTCTGCCACACAGCCTTCCATGACATTCAGCCTAACAGGCCAAATAAACATTAACTGGGATCTGGACGCGGTGGCTCACGCCTGGAATCCCAGCACTTTGGGAGGCCGAGGTGGGTGGATCATTTGAGGTCAGGAGTTCAAGACCAGCCTTGCCAACATGGTAAAACCCTGTCTCTACTAAAAATACATAAAAAAAAAAAAAAAATTAGCTGGGCGTGGTGGTGGATGCCTGTAATCCCAGCTACTCGGGAGGCTGTGTCAGGAGAATCACTTGAACCCAGGAGGCGGAGGTTGCAGTGAGCAACCATCTGAATATCTGATCATAGGTATAGCTCCTCTCTCTCAAAAAATAAAAAATTATGCATATACTTACACACATTAACAATTCTACATACAATATCAAGTTGTACATGCAGAATCACTGACACTGTGTTTTACGGAAAACTGAAATTATTTCTTTAATGAGTATTTGTTGAGTATCTGATCTGTTCTAAGAATTACACTAGGTATGAGGCATACTGTGGCCAACAGGAGGGTCTCTTGTCCTTAAGAATACTGGAAGGAAGGAGATCAAATGCAAGTGATAAGCAATACCACCATCTAATCAGTAAGTTCTCAAAATCCCTAACTTTTCAAATATATATATTATTATATATATAATATATATAATATATATAATATATGTAATATATATAATTATATATTATATATATTATATATAATTATATATATTATATATATAATTATATATATTATATATTATATATTATATATAATACATATAATATATATTATATATAATATATATAATATATATAATATATTATATTTGATATATATCAAATATATAATCATATATGATATAATATATAATATATATATATTTTTGTCTAAGTCTATACTGTATGACAAACAACCTGAAATGCAAATAACCTTTCGAGATACGATTTTGAGTATACATATTTGCCTTTCATTGCTGTTTTTGGGAGTGAAAGAAAGAGCATGGAAATGAGGCAAAAAGAGTAACAATGTACCTGTCTTGCATTCTCAAGGAATAATTGCTTTTGATTGCTTTTAGAATAGGTAACCTCATCGTGACATGATTTGCTCCAGGAGCAGGAATTCACTTCCCTCTGTGATCTTTTACAAATGGCAGTGGTTTCCAAATGAACAGGGTAAGTTCATTTTTTTCTGGGAAAAAGTGTGAAGGTATCAGGATTTTTCTCAACAGTCTGGGGTGATGATGAGCATGGTGGTTCACGCCTGTAATCCCAGCACTCTGGGAAGCCGAGGCAGGTGGATCACGAGGTCAGGAGCTTGAGACCAGCCTGGCCAATATGGTGAAATCCCATCTCTACTAAACATACAAAAATTAGTCAGGTGTGGTAGCGTGCGCCTTAGTCCCAGCTACTCAGGAGGTTAAGGCAGGAGAATCACTCGAACCCAGGAGGTGGAAGTTGCAGTGAGCCGAGATCATGCCACTGTACTCCAGCCTAGGGGACAGAGCGAGACTCCAACTCCAAAAAAAAAAAAATCCACACAAAAGAAAAGAATGTGTGAACTCCCTCTGACAAGATGGTATGTTGTGAAGAGGAAAGTTCATGTACCTGCATTATCCAGAAAATACTTCCTTGCAAGATCTGGATAATGTGGCTTCTGGCGTTTCTGCAAAAACAACAATTTAGCACAAAAACTATGCTGCTATCTATGGAAAGTTTAAGGGAAGAGTAAATGTTAAAACAATTAAAACAAGCAAATAAAATGTTTTAAATAACAGTAAAAATCCAACATTGACAGGGAACAGAGTTCAAGAATGGTTTTAGATAGAGAAATGAATTATCCTACATTAGCGCATTTTCTGATTGAAGGTAATTTCTTTAAATGCCAAAAAATCTTTATAAGATAGTTTTACTGGCAATCTTTCCAATCTATTTCACACTCCCTGTCTCCTTAATCAAACCAAGTAAACAAAATGTAACATTTTTGATGACTCACTAAGTACATCCATTACTTTGCAGTGCTGTAATGCAGCCATTCTGAGAGGCTACTGACGACACAGATTTGACTGCCTCTCTTCAAAACAACTCCAGATGTACCATTTGGAGACCTAGTGCCCTTTAAGGTTGCAACATTTTCTCTTTACCTCATTAGCAAATCACTTCTTGCTACTGCCCCTCTATCTGAGGAACATCACTTCCTTGAACTCCATTCTTCTAATTCATGGCCAAACTGAGAAAACAATTGTTTCTTTAAAATAATTTCAATTTAGGCCAGGTGCGGTGGCTCACGCCTGTAATCCCACCACTTTGGGAAGCCGAGGTGGGTGGATTACCTGAGGTCAGGAGTTCCGGATCAGCCTGACCAATATGGTGAAACCCTGTCTCTACTAAAAATACAAAAATTAGGAGGGCGTGGTGGCGGATGCCTGTAATCCCAACTACTCGGGAGGCTAAGACAGGGGAATCACTTGAACCTGGGAGGCACAGGTTGCGGTGAGCTGAGATCACGCCACTGCATTCCAGCCTGGGCGACAGGGTGAGACTCCATCTCAAAATTAATAAATGAATAATTTCCACTTAAAAATTTATGTAATAACCTAAATGTCTGTGTTCTATTAAATTCATCTTATTAAAATCAGTTGGATTTGGCTATTAACTTGCCCACGAACAGCTGGCTCGGTGATAGTCAGCAGTAACTTGTATGCTGGTATTTGCCTGTGTCTACAGGCCCAAGATTATGATATGCCAGGGGGAGGATCAGGTCAAAAATTTCAAAGTGAAAACTAATTGTGGGTATTATTAAAAACAGGATCTAAATACAGGTTGTGTGAAATTTGTGAGGTCAGTTATTAATACATGGACTCTGTAATTATTCTGGCTGTTGAGAGTTATTTTTATTTTTTTGCTTGTTTTCACTTTTTTTAGTCATTTTAAAAAAAGATTGACCTTTAGCTAAGTGAAGCATTACTATAACAACACACTGTTTTCCTTTATGGGATATTTTGACTATATAATTATAAATGCCTTTAAAATAAAATTTGTTTTTCTGTATCCTTATTGGCTAAGTAAATACCATGTTCAGGATAGAATATTTGCCATGGTAGTTCCACTTATCCTTGCATTGCTGGTCTGCTGAAAGGAGGGCATCAATCATCCCAAGGAGCTCCTCAGTCTCCTGACATATCATAAGCAAAAAGAGGATAGCTTTTATTCATGATGTGACCAGTTACATTCATATCAATAATACATGCTCATGTTAGTGAGAGGGGCAGCAATCTTGGACTGTTATGACACTTTAAACATGCTCCAAACAAGGCCGGGTGCAGCAGCTCAAGCCTGTAATCCCAGTACTTTGGGAGGCCATGGTGGGCGGATCACTTGAGGCTAGGAGTTCGAGACCAGCCTGGTCAACATGGTGAAACCCCTGTCCCTACTAAAAATACAAAAATTAGCCAGGCGTGGTGGCACGCGCCTGTAATCTCAGCTACTTGGGAGGCTGAAGCAGGAGAATCGCCTGAACCTAGGAGGTAGAGGTTGCAGTGAGCCGAGATTGTACCACTGCACTCCTGCCTGGGCAACAGAGTGAGACCCTGTCTCAACATAACATAACATAACATAACATAACATAACATAACATAACATAACATAACATAAAAATGCTCCAAACATACAAACATTCAAACGTCTATGGATGCATCTGAATAGGAAATTCTGTAGCACTTCTTCATGATCAAATTGAAAATAAATTTCAATATAAATTCCCACTGGGAATCATTAATATTCCATTACAGTACCCTTAATGATTACAACCACCACCACTCAAACTTTTTTCCTTTTTTCTTTTTTTGGGGGTTAAAAATCTGTTTGTACTCTTAAGCAGCATCTGTTCTGTTAAAACATTGTAACAGACTTCTTTTTGGTAATTTTTTTTTTTTTTTAAGAAAACACATGAACATGATTTGTGGATCTTCAGTTACTTCAAATATTACCCTCATTATCGTCACCATTTTTCATTCATGGTCTGAACCACACCAAAAGCAGCATCATTATTCTGCCCATGATGAGCACGTGATCGAAAGCGAAAGCAGGCTGCCAGACCTCCACGGGGAGGGCAGAAGCGGAAACACGCCACGCACCTTTCATCACCTAACTCAGCTTGATTTACTTTACTGAAAAAAGCAGCAATATTCCATATTTTAAGCCAGAACCTTTAAAGCTTTTCTCTTAAAAAGCTTGCAAACCTAGCTTTTCTCTTAAAAGGCTCTCCGACTTACACAGGACAGGCATCCAAGCCCTCTTCCTCCATGGATACTGTTGCTACCAGGTTTCCATGACCTTCTCTTGGAAAGAACTCACCTACTCTAGGCAACAGTTGATGCTCTTTTTTTAGCTACACTTAAATACCACCCATAAGTTCCTATTTTCAACTACATACTCCGAATATAACTCAGATCAAGTATTTTTGAGAATTCAGTTCAGGCTTTTCCTTTATAAAAAGTTCAGACCTTTTTCTGACTGAGGTCTGCTTCTTCCTCTTGTGTAGTCCTTTGGGAATAATCTTTTGAAAATGCTGCAATGACAAAAGCAATTTTCTTGGATTTAAATCTGAACATTCTCTGGTTTCATTATTAAGTATACACTTCTTTGTCTAAACCAGTAAATACAAGGTGAGAGCTAAGAGAGTTAACACTTTAGAAATGCGATTTGGATTCAAAATGACGTTAAGAAAATGCCCAGCACTTAGACTGAAACGATCCTTACAAGATCACCCTGTGAAGTTGTTCCAATTTCTTTTTTGCCACATAATATTTTGCTCAAAAGACATCACCAGAGGAAGTTAGAACATGACAGAAAAAGAGAACAACTTCTGGAGCAGAAGGGGAGCGGTGACAGGGAGGAGTGAACACTGGACACAGGCTCCAGAAGCCTAAACCGAAAACCTGAAAACCATAGGCACAGGCCAAATATCTTATTTTACAAATGAGGAAACTCAGGCACAAAGTGAAATGATCACCCGGAGGCGCCACCACTAGTCACTAGCAACACTAAGACAGGCTTAGAGCCCAGCGACTTCCATAACCCAGTCAGAACAACTAGTGCATTCCACACGGGCACACTGCTAGCCACTTAACACACCTCATCATATTTAATTCTCCTAACCGCTCTTAGAGGAAGGTGTTTTTATCCCATGCCGTACCTGAGAAAACTGAAAAGGATTAAGTTGCTTGGCCAAGGTAAGATATTGGGATTACTTTCCAGATCTGTAACTACTCATTTTACTCTGCCACACAGCCTTCCATGACATTCAGCCTAACAGGCCAAATAAACATTAACTGGGATCTGGACGCGGTGGCTCACGCCTGGAATCCCAGCACTTTGGGAGGCCGAGGTGGGTGGATCATTTGAGGTCAGGAGTTCAAGACCAGCCTTGCCAACATGGTAAAACCCTGTCTCTACCAAAAATACAAAAAAAAAAAAAAAATTAGCTGGGCGTGGTGGTGGATGCCTGTAATCCCAGCTACTCGGGAGGCTGTGTCAGGAGAATCACTTGAACCCAGGAGGCGGAGGTTGCAGTGAGCAGAGATCATGCCACTGCATTCCAGCCTGGGCAACAAGGCAAGACTCCGTTGCAAACAAACAAACAAACAAACATTAACTGCGTAGAGAAAATTCAGATTCTACTCTTTGTTTCTTTTCTACTTCGTTCAGGTAAGGGACAAAGGGGCAATGAGGAAACCAGTCTACCAGCAGAATCTCTAATAGGAAGCTCTAAATAATTCAATACTTAATATATTTCCTTCAATACTGTCACCACCAGCATCCGAGCCACCATCCTTCTCACATAGACAATTGCGATTTTACCATCTTTCCACTTCCACTTTCCTAAACAATTCTTCAAATATCCAGAGTAAAACATGACAATAAACATAGGATCATGTTACTTTCCAGTTTTCAATTCTTCAAAACAATTCCCATTGTCTTTTTCTTAAAACGTCAGTGTTTTTAATACTGTTATATAGTTATTTCTGAACTGTTGGTCATTACACTGTACTCAGTACTTTAAAAGAATGACCAAGAGTAGTAAAATTTCATTAAGCCTATTTTTATATGATGCCTAAAACCTCTGGCTGAATAGACAAACTGCCCCATTTTTTTTTTTAGAGTGGACTTGTCCATTATTTTTGTCATTGTTTTACTGACAGAATTACAAATTCACAGGCAGTTGTAAGAAAAGAACAGAGTCCTTGTGCCATTTACCCAGTATCCTCCAATGGTAACATCTGCAAAACTATAGTATGATAGCACAAACCAGAATGTTGACATTAATAAAACCTAGTCTTATTCTGATGTCTCCAGCTATACTTGTACTCAGCGATAATCAGGAAGTAAAGATGAGAGAGGAGAGAGCAACAATGAGAGTGGGAAGATCAAATAGGGAAAAAAGACTTCATGTTGCTTAGGTTAAGCCTTCTGGTAGAAAATATTGAAAAGTAGGGCAATTGTCAGTGTTAAATTTCCAATCTTCTCCCTGGCTGAAAGGGGTAGATGGAACTCAGAAAGAGAGATGGGTCAGTTTTACTCTTTTTTTTTTTTTTTTTAAGAAGAATCATTACAGCTTTTGCTGTCACTCCGTGTGAACAGATCCTTTTTGGGGTTTGAACTTACAAAAATGGCTTATCTCTAGATTTTTAATGGCTGATTCATCTGTTGTTCTTTACCCTTATATACAGCTGTAACTGATTAAAAAGCCTAATGGTTACAAATCTGAGAGCCTCACTTTATATTTTCTAATTATGTTTCTTCCTTATCCAAAAAGATGCATTAATCTTTATTTAAAATGTGTTTTATCTTTGCTGATCTTTTGAGTCTGTTTAAATTCTACCTTCTTGGCTAATTACTCCATCATTTTCACAAATTATTTTTCCTTAAGAAAACCAAATGAGAAAATTATGTTTAAAACAACATATATAATCCTTTCAGCTGACAAGATAGGTTAAAAACGGGATGGAGGTATCCTACATATTCTTGGAACTGTCTCCTAAGAGAATCTTGCCTAAACTCTGTCCTTTGAGAAAGCAAGGGAAAACAAATGTATTTGAATGACAACTTTCATTAAAATTCTAACCAACAGACTATGTAACAATTTAATTCACTGTTTTTTTATCACTCCATTCATGGAGTGAAGCTTATAAATCCTGCTAGGCCAAGCATACTGATTTACATCCTTTCAATTTAACCCATTCTTCACACACACACACACTCTCTCTCTCTCTCTCTCTCTCTTTCTTCCACATTAAAACTTTTGCTCTTCCCTTAAGGGAAGACGTGCTAATTTCAAAGTTCATAAATTCCCAAGTAAAGCAATTTCTATAAAAAAACTTAAAAATTTAAAGAATATTCTAATGTCAAACATCTAATAGCAAGCAATAACCTAAAAGACTGTCATATTGATTGGTATCTGTAAGATTTATTTCCCTACGTTTTTAAATGATTTCCAGTGACACTGTCTTCTAACTAGAATTATTCTTAGACCTACTTGTGTATTTAAATACATTCAAGGTATGTTTTTAAACATTCTGCAAATTGTGTTCAGTTTTATCACAAATATTTGGAACATTTTGTTTTGTTGTTTCTGTTCTTTCCATCAATAAGTTGGTATAAAAATTTTTAAAGGAGAGACTGTTTCAGCTAATTTCTTTCTACTCTCCCTTGGTACTTACTGAATTTAACTGCTGCTCAAAAAAGAAATAAAGATCTAACAATGACTGGAATAAAAATACTAAGGAGAGCAGTATCAGAGTATTAAATGGTAGATGGCAATGGGAAAGTGGGATAGAAAACAATTGGGTTCATGTCATATCAAAATCTACAGTCTAGATGTCTCTTCAGAATGAAATTATGGGACGGCCAATAACTGACCTTCCACCCTTTATGTTCCTAGACCATTTGCCAGGATCTTCTTGTCATTTATTTCTCAGTTTCTTCCCTTCTTTCATGTAAATACATTTTCAAATGGACAATTCATCTCTAAATATATAAATACCTGGTGACCATCACTGAAAGGCCCTGTGTCTTTTCTGTATATAATGAGAAATGGACAATTATCAACCACCAGAGTTAGAAATGCAGAGCAGATTCGATAGAAGATAGAAACGCAGCTTTTCTGTTACAAACAAGAACAAGGGTTTCCTAAGAAACTCAGTAGAAATAAAATTCAGGGAACAGAAATGCAGAGGATCAAGACACTGCATTTTGAACATTAAGATAGAGGAACTTTCAAGAAAATTCTTATTTTTAAATGTTTTAATTGACAAATGAAAAGTATATATTTGTGGTGCACAATGCAGTATTTTGAGTACACATACATACTGTACAATGATTAAATAAAGCTAATTAACCTATTTCTCACCTCACATACTGTTTTGTGATGAGAACATTCAAAATCTATTCTCCTAGTATTTTTCAAACAAACAATATGATGTTATTAACTATAGTCACCATGCTATACAACAAAGCTCTATGATTTATTTATATAGTCGAAAGGAAATTGTACCCTTTGTTTAAATCCCCACCATCCCCAGACCCCTGGTAACCACCATTTAACTCCATGAATCTGTGAGATCAACTTTTTTAGATTCCACTGTAAGTGAGATCATGCGGTATTTGTCTTTCTGTGCCTGGCTTATTTCATTTAGTGAAACGTCCTCCAGATTTATCGATGTCACAAATGACAGAATTCCTCCTTTTTAAGGCCAAATAATATTCCACTGTGCATATCTACCACATTTTATCCATTCGTCTGCTGATGAACATTTAGGATGATTCCGTATCTGGGCTGTTATGAATTTTCAAAGGTTATTCTACAGAGTGAAGAGTTTCAGAAATATGCACATAATCAAAAGCTAACACTTCACTAGTTGGTATCAGCCGCTGATAAGACTGGGTGAAAGAAGTCCCCAGGCTGACACAGTCAAGAGTCCATAAAAATTGCCCCGAGACAAAGCAGAATCCCAACAATTCCTGGACCTGATCCTTCAGACCAACGCCTCTCCATTAGGAAGGCACATCTCTAGCAACCCTTGTCTCCCCCAGGGATGTTTTAATCACTTCAAGTAATTCACATCTCCATCAATATTCCAGGATAATCTTGGGATCTTAGCAGAATATGAACTAGTTTGCTTCCTCAAAGGTTCTTCAAGATTCCAGGACCAGTTCAAGAGCCAATGCACCCTAGTACTTCCCCTCTTGTAGCATCAAAGAGGGAAGTCACTAAAAACGCAAATCAAACGTCAGGTTTAAAAATGTGGGAAGAAGGATAGGCCCAGGAGAAAGAGGCTGTTAACAAGGTAAAAAGGTAAGGGTTAAGCAAGATTCATTTTCAGTCAACGTCACAGGTGCTTCCTTTCAAAGAGCAGAGGCTATGTATCTTTGGAAAGCAGCAAGCTAAAAAGGGATGGTGGGTAGAGGTTTTGACTACTGCCGCTAATCTCACTCGCCTCTAAAAAGTCTTAAAACCAGATACCTGCAGGAAGGGATAGGGTCCTTCCAGCCCACTTTAGGCTAAGTAAAATAATATCAAAAATAAAAAGTTTTAATAGCTAACAGACAATACTTACTATATGTGAGGACTCTAAAATCTCCCATTTTATAGATGAGGATATTGAAATACACTATTTACTTGACGTAGTCCCCTGACTATTAAGAGACAGAACCTGGTATTAGAACCCAGTCAGTACAGTTCTCAAATCATAATCTCAATCCTCATACCGTACTGTCTCTCAAAACACAGCCTACAATACAGAGCTAGCCTGCATTCTACATTCTTATCCCTCTTTATTCACGTCGTTAGTACCTGTAATACTTATTAGAGCCTTACGAATGTTTTACAAAATCTATCAGACCCAAAGCAGAACCTCCCCTTTCTCTTCCATTGTCCCCAAGGATGCTTGAATACAAACCACATCCAACCGCTGGGATGGGTGGAGCCAGTAGAAACATGATCACAGGGTTAATCAGAAACTTGTAAGACAGTAGCAAATTTTTCTGTGTTTATCTGTACTATGTGAATCATACCAGATGATCTGGCCTATTTTGTTATATGAATGACTGTCTTGATTTGGTCATGTAGTTGAGAGGGGTAAATATGAGAATGTCTTTGGGTGAAAGAAGGGGCAGGAAATGCAATGGAATAATAACCAAGATAACAAGTCTTTTACCTATACTTCAAAAGGCCATCTGACATGGTTTGTGTCCCCACCAAAACTCATGTTGAATAATAATCCGTAGTACTGGATGTGGGGTCTGTTGGGAGGTGATTGGATCAGGAGGGCGGAGCTCTCATGAATGGGTTAGCACTGTCCCCTTGGTGCTGTTCTCATGATGACGAGTGAGCTCTCCTGAGCTATGGTTATTTAACAGTGTGCAGCATCTCCTTCCTTCCTCTCTTCCTCCTGCTCCGGCCACTTAAGATGTGCCTGCCTCCCCTTCTGCCACGATTTTAGGTTTCCTGAGGCCTCCCTAGAAGCCAAGCAGATGCCAGCATCAGGCTTTCTGTACAGCCCGCAGAACCATGATCAAAATAAACCTCTGTTCTTTATGAATTACTCAGTATCAGGTATTTGTTTGCAGCAGTGGGAGAATGGACTAATACACCATCTCAAACATCACCTCCTCCCAGCCTTCTGCTTTGAAGAACCTAAGTAATATGCTATCACTGGTTGTCTTCTGATATCCAACTTATTTCACTTTTATTACACATATCCATATCTTACACTGTAAACACCCTGTAGGGGAAAAAATGTCAAATATCGGTTTAGGTTATTTGAGTAAACAACGAAAGCTGCAATGGAATTTTAAACTAAAAAAAGGGCTCAATGTATCATCTATCCCTTCAATACAGTATAAGGCAAATTCAGAAGCAAAATATTAATTAAATCAACTGAATTGAAGGACTGTACACAAGCTTCTCATTTCTCACACATTTAAATATGTCAAGGTCTATTTTTTCTTAACCCTTTCTCTTCAGAAAACAACTACAACAACAAAAAAACAGAATTTGGCTTATACTTTTATTTCAACATGGAATAACTGTTTATTTTATGGAGAAAGACACCTCCAATATTTCTCAGTAGTCTGTGATCTCTGAGGACAGGTGCCCATTTGGTTTCAGCATCTTCTCCAATCCCACAACACCTAGTAAACACACAGCAGACCTTTAATAAATGTTTCCAGCTACAAAATGACATGGAACAACAGACATTCAAGTACAAATGTTACTTCTGGGCCAAAGAAATCTGAACAGACATAAATCCAAATGTTACTTTTGAACCAAATTAATCTAAAAGTATCAAGGTCAATACGTAACAATAAAAGCCTCAGTTTATGTAACTTTAAGCTTTTTTAATATTGAATCTAGCAGTTTCTATATATGATTATGAGGAAACCTAATAAAGGTCATAATTTTTCCTTTTATTTCACACAAAAAAAACTTAATGTCACACATGCCTGTAACATGGAGATTGGAAAGGTGGCAAAGAAAGAGAGAATGACCATGATATTAAAAACCTGTAAGATGACACCAAATTTTGAAAAGTTTCTATGTATGTATGTATCTGTGTAGCACATATGTAACAATATTTTCCCCCAGAATTCAAGTATATACTCCACCCAATAATTTATCTCAGCAGGGAATCCAGCGACAGCTATTCTAAGAGAAAGAGAATGAGAAAAAAAGACACCAAAAGAAAAATAGAAAGCCAAAGAGAAAGTAAAAGACAGAAATAAAAAGAAACCAGGAGAAAAGGAAGGCAGGAAGAAAGGGAGGAAAGGGAAGGAAAACCGAACAGCACACAGAATAGAGGAATGAAACCAACGTGGTTTAAAGAAAACCTTTTCTTACTGAAATTTTCAGTAAAACCCATTCCTACTGAAATGGAAAACTATCTTGGGTGGGTGAGCGGCTGGGGTTTGTTATGGAAGAGAATCAATACTTCACTTGACAATTACCATGCTAACCACCACCATTTTCGGTATCATTTCACTATCATCTTCTCACAACAAAAAAACAAATAATACATACTTTCCCATGAGGTTTATAAACATAATCTCATTGCACAACAGCAACAAATCATCTGGCAAATTCTTGGTAGAGGAAGTCAAAGAACACGTTTACTCAAGGTGAACAGTAGCCTCTGGACTGTATATTAACCATACACGGTTTCATACAGCTCCGCCAAACATGCTCTAAATTAGCCAATAATTTGCCAACCGTCATGCAGGTTACCATAAGCCTACCACTAAATTCTAAAAGCTTCACTATGAAAATTTTCCTGTCAACTTTCATTTCTGACATAAGTTGATAAAAGCCTCACAAATCCTCTCTTAGAGAGACTCCATAATTTTCCATGCAAATATCACTAGACTGAAAAAAGTCTTGTTAACACCATACGGATTCAATGGAAGATGTAAAACATCTTTATCACGTCACAATCCTGCACCATTTATCTCCCGCTCCCATTTGGATTTATACCTTTAGAAATGGCAGCACTTGCTGTACAAAGGACCTAAAGAAAATGCCTTCTTTACTCCATAAATTAAAGCTACTTTTCTTCCTGATTTTTTTTTCATAATTTCTTGTAATGTGCTGCAAATAAAGTTAGTAAGACTAAGAATGTCGTAATACCACATCGTAATGCCTTCTTTCATTTACCATAGTAGATAAGTCTTTCCAAATCTGGCAGAACTCTATTCTATGTAGCTTAAAGGTTACATAAAACACAACAAAGGACTTCTCTTTCAACATTTCCATATCATATCATACATTTCCATACCATAGCTGATTCAAATGTCACCTTTCTTGAAAATTCATTTAAAGAAATTGATTCCAAAAGAAACCTATACGTGTACTGTTTTTTAAAAGGCTAGAATCAAAAAGACAACTGTAAAAACCACATTCTCAATGTATACAATCTTACCCTACAACCCCCCAAATACTCATATTATCATTATTTTGTACTCAATCAAATGCCCATCTCATTTACAATGCTGGAGAATGCATGAATTCCAAAGTTGATTTTGTTGTCTCCTTGAAAACAATCTGATGAGGGGGAAAAACATCATGCTGATGTTACCAATAATAAAGCCAAATGCAAATAATTCAGGCATTCTACAATTACTGAGAATTTAATTTAATCTATTTCCAGAGACAACATGAGTGGCTCTGAGACTAGGGATTGAACACAGTTGGAACTGTTTCCATTATAGCCTGCAAATGCTACTCTGTTTCCGTAGTGCATATACCTTTGGGATCTTTCTTAAATTCTGATAGTCTATTTACAAATAAATCGAACAAAAACTGCCACTCACTATTTGTATCACCAACCATTCCAAATTTACTTACCTCAGTATTATTGATTATAATGCAGACTTCTAGAAATTATCAACTTAAGGTACTTTGCAGCACGAAAAATCAAGGACAAGGCTTAAAAGAAACATCACCAATAAAACCAAAAGCAAAAAGCAAAATACTTAAGTGATCCTTAGCCTACTTAGGATTAAGCTGTAAGCAGCAAACAGAAATACAAGCATACACTAAAAACCAATAGTTCCATGCTTACTTTCAGCAGATCCTTGGAGAAATCAACACCCTCATTTACCCCTTGCAGATTTGCAATGAACTCCTGACAGGTCATCTTCTTTCCAATATTCTGAAACAGAGGCAAACAGTACATCACTATGACATTCATGGAATTAAGACTGATTCATAAATATATGATGAGGCAGACCAATAATTTGTTTCTAAAAACATAACTAGGCCAGGTGCGGTGGCTCACGCCTGTAACTTCCACACTTTGGGAGGCCGAGGTGGGTGGATCACGAGGTCAGGAGATAGAGACCATCCTGGCTAACCGGGCTATGTTTAGCAGAAAGCCCGTCCACTACTAACATGTTTAGTAAAAACCCCGTCTCTACTAAAAATACAAAGAATTAGTTTGGCATGGTGGCATGCACCTGTAGTCTCAGCTACTCGGGAGGCTGAGGCAGGAGAATCGCTTGAACCCGGGAGGCAGAGGTTGCAGCGAGCGGAGATGGTGCCACTGCACTCCAGCGTGGGTGACAGAGCGAGACTCCATCTCAAAAAAAAAAACCAAAAACAAAAAACAGACAAACAAACAAACAAATAACATAACTAGACATCTATTTACAAATACAGGGCTGGGCACAGTGGCTCCTGACTCATGTCTGTAATCCCAGCACTTTGGGAGGCTGAGGTGCGTGGATTACTTGAGGTCAAGAGTTTGAGACCAGCCTGGCCAACATGGCAAAATGCTGTCTCTACTAAAAATACAAAATTTAGCCAGGCGTGGTGGCAGGCGCCTGTAGTCCTAGCTACTCGGGAGGTTGAGGCATGAGAATCACTTGAACCCAGGAGGCAGAGGTTGCAGTGAGTCGAGACTGCACTACTACACTCCAGCCTGGGTGACAGAGTGCAACTGTATCTCAAAAAACAAAAACAAAGCAACCACAGGTTTATATACACATACATACAATTTTACTGCACTAAAAACATGGTTTATTATGCTTTTAAAATTCTCATTAAATATAAATAGCAAACTTATACCAAAAACTTATTATAATGTAGAAAAAAACTTGAAAAACCGACGCTACATTTATACAATATATAATACAGTTTTTAATGAAAAACATGGGTAAAAACGGACATTTCTGAGCTGAACTCAGCTGTTTATGCATTTATTTGTGTTACCTACATACTATCAAGACCTGTGAAGGATCTGAGATTTACACTACTTTCAAACTAACAAGTTAGCCTGTCACAAGCTAATAAAATGCTGGCAGAGGAAAGAAGTCTCCTGGGTGAGAGACAAGGTATTTATTACTTACACTAACAGGGGCAGCCAGAATATCAACATTATCTTGTGACCACTGGGCTCTAGTTCCCCAAGTCCCAAATGTCACAGAGCAACCTGAATAGGGCCACAGGCCACCTGCACATGCAGTGTGTTGCATTATAGGAGAGAAACCCTAACCTTCAGGAGCTGGAATCTTTAATCATGGGAAATACGCCTATCCCTTTGCACTAGCGGGAGATACCAGCTCTACCTTCCAGGGAGATATGCAAACCTGACCGCTGCTGTGAAGTCACTACAGCATCTTCCAAAGCTACTCACTGTATATAGAAATAATCTTGAAAAGACAGAAAAGAACAAAGGCAGTCACAGCCTCTGTTCGCAAAACGTACAGGAAAGTGTGAGACCCATGGAAAATTATCTCCCAGCACGTCTCCAAGCTGGTTTAAGGACAATAAAGTTTAACAAAAGGAAATTGCATTAATAAAGTAATTAGAAAATCCAAACTACAAAAAGAGCAAAGATATAAACAAACTAAGAAAACTAACAAAATTGTTATCACAGAGAATCACCTCTTATTCTAGTTCCAAACAACTAGTAGAAGCTGCTAGCTGTGGAGGATTTTTAGGTTCCGTATAGACAGCAAGATACATCTGTTACGAGTGCAGGAGAGGAACGCAGAGCACAGAGAAGTGTCACAGGTATCATCTCTAGCAAAATGTAGTCCAAGTGAATACAAAGTGTACCAACATCGTAATATACCTGTGACCGGGCACGGTGGCTCAAGCCTGTAATCCCAGCACTTTCGGAGGCCGAGGCAGGTAGATAACGAGGTCAGGAGTTCTAGACCAGCCTGCTCAACATGGTGAAACCCCGTCTCTACTGAAAAATACATAAATTAGCCGGGTGCAGTGGCGGCCGCCTGTAACTCCAGCTACTTGGGAGGCTGAGGCAGAATAACTGCTTGAACCCGGGAGGTGGAGGATGCAGTGAGCAGAGATCGTGCCACTGCACTCCAGCCTGGGAAACAAGAGCAAGACTCCGTCTCAAAACAGATAAATAAATAAAAAATAAAAAAACCAACCAACCAAATAAATAAATATACCTGCATACACTACTACTATGCATAAATGTATGCTTTTCAAGGTCACGCTATTCTTTCGTAAAAGGCTAACAGAAGGGTAGAACAGCACCTAGTGAATTCATTTGAAAGTGAATTCATTTGAATACCTACGGTATTCAAAATGAGAAAGCAGACTTCTGGAGATAGACTTTTAAAAAGTAGCAGAGGCCGGGCGCGGTGGCTCACACCTATAATCCCAGCACTTTGGGAGGCCGAGACAGGCGGATCACTTGAGGTCAGGAGATTGAGACCAGCCTGGCCAACATAATAGAATCCTGTCTCTACTGAAAATACAAAAAAAAAAAAAAAAAAAAATAGCCGGATGTCATGGCGGGCGCCTGTAATCCCAGCTACTCAGGGGGCTGAGGCAGAAGAATCACTTGAACCCGGGAGGTGGAGGTTACAGTAAGCCAAGATTGTGCCACTGCACTCCAGCCTGAGCGACAGAGAGAGAGTCCAGTTCAAAAAATAAATAAATAATTAAAAATAAATATAAAGGAGGCCAGGCATGGTGGCTCATGCCTATAATCCCACACTGCCTGGGAGGCCCAGGAAGGAGGATCACTTGAGCCTGGGAGATCAAGACTAGCCTGGGTAACATCCCTCTCTAGAAACAATATGAAAATTAGCTGGGTATGAAGGCACGTGCTTTGCAGTCCCAGCTACTCTGGAGGCTGAGGGGCAAGATCGCTTGAGCCCAGGATGTTGAGGTTACAGTGAGCCATAATTGTGCCACTGCATTCCAGCTCGGGTAACAGAGGAAGACTTTCAAGAAGACGCACAGGCATCATTTTAAGGGAATATGTATACACAACCTCAAATTCAAAGACAGATTTGCCTGAGAACATACACCTGTGTGCCATAGGAGTCATCACTTCCCACCTCCCCTTTCCCAGCCACCCTTCTCCTGTTTCACAAAATAAAACAATTCGTCCCATTCAAGCTGTCTAAATAGTTACAATGACAGTGCTGACATTTTTGTTGTTGTTGTTAAAAACCTTGCCTCTTTCATCAGCAAAGAATGCATAGTTTGTATGAAACACTGAAAAAAATGGTTTGACAGAAGTGGCTTTGTCAGCTAACTTATTTAGTAGATATTTCTCATAAGTTAAATAAATTAAATCTGCAGTTTAAAAATTTTGTTGATAATTAGTTTAAAGCACAGAAAGGAACTTTAATGAAAAATATTGTTTTGCAACAGTATACTGAAGACGACAATAACTCAGTTTTCCCAATCCTTTCCAACTGTATCAGGTCAAACAAGGTGTCTCAAGGTAAAAAAATAACACATACAATGAACAGTCATTATGATATACCTTGGCAATACCTTTTTAGATATGTTCTGGGGAGATGAATAAATAATGACTAGGTAACAAATCTTTTTCCAAGTCAGGTGGTGTTTAATTCTTTGCTTTAAATGAAAATAAAGGAAGGTCTAATTTAGTCATCAGTTAATCACCAAAACTATTTTTTGATATGTGATCTGCAAAATTCAACTGCTTGTAACATTATCTGCTTTAAATAAATTGTTATTAATAAACTTCTTTGTAAAAGTACACTAAAATATGAGTATAAAAACGAAAATTTTTCTCTTAAAAAAGTGTGTTAATTTTGTTACATGATGATAGCATCAACTACTATAACTTTAAAAAAGTATCATCTTTATTAAAATACAATTCACAGTATATTCTTTCGAACCATATAATTCAGTGATTTTTAATAAAGGTGTGCAATCACCACCACTATCTACATTCAGAACATTTACTCCCTAAAGAAACTCCATACCCACCAGCAGTTATTCTCCAAATCTCTTCCACCACCCTCACTAGGGACCACCTGGCAAGCACAAATCTGCATTTTCTTTATACAGATTTGCCTATTCAGGACATGTGAAATAAATGGAATCATATAAAATGTAGCCTTTTATGACTAGCTTCTTTTACTTAACATGTTTTCCAAGTTCATCCATGTTGTTGCATAAATCAGTATTTAATGTCCTTTTATTTCTAAACAACATTCCATTGTATGGATATACCAATTGTGTTTCTTCATTTATAAATTGATGAATGTTTAGACTATTTTCTTTTTTTGGCTATTATAAATAATGCTGCTATAAATATTCATGTATAAGTTTCTGTGTAAACATGTTTTCATTCCTCCTGGGCATATATTTAGGAGTGGGATTATTGAGTCCTATGGTAATCTTGTTTATTCATTTAAGGAACTGCCAGACTCATTTTCAAAGTGGCTGCACCATTTCACATTCCCACAAGCAGCGAATGAGGGTTCCAGTTTCCCTCCAACCTCACAGACACTAACATCTGTCCCTTTTACTTTAGGTATTGTTATGGGTATGAACGGGTATGCTATGGTTTTGATTTGCATTTCCCTAATGACTAATGACCCTCAGCTTTTTTTCATGTGCTAATTATCCATTTGCATGTCTTCTTTAGAGAAAGGCCTGTTAAAATCCTATTTTCCCTTCTTATTGGAATATTTATATTTTTATTATTCAGTTGTAAGACTTCTTTACACATTCTAGATATAATTTTCTTATCACATATGTACTTTAAAAATATCTTTTCCCATTCTGTGGGTCTTTTCATTTTTTTCCTTTCACTTTCTTGATGATGTCCTTTTGAAGCAGGATATTTCCCTGACCCCTTCATGGGCAGATATGGGAGTATATGAGCACTGGAGTCAGCCAACTCCACTCACTCAAATCTGCTGTGTTCCACCCCTTGCTGGAGGGAGCAAACAGGTGAGTGGGTACGGCAGCTCGGGCAAATGCCTTCGGGCACCAGCAGGAGTGAACTCTGTACTGGTCCCGCAGCAACATCTGGGGAGGGGTGCCAGTGACCCCTGAAGTCCCAGAGGAAGTGTTTGGGTGCTCTTTTAGCTTGGCTGTCTGCATATGGCTTAAGTGTTAACAGCTCAGTGGATCCTCTGCCTTTTTGGGTGAGATGGCTGCCTTCTGCCAGCAAGGGCAAAGGGTCAGTGTGACAGCCTTTTGCAACCACACTTGGGGCACCTGAGCTCTTTACCAGCATCCAGGAGAAAAGAGGTTGCACAAACAAATTGGAGGATGGTAAATGCAGGAAATTTTATTGCCGATGGAAGTGGCTCTCAGCAGGAAGGGGAGCTGAAAAGGGGACAGAGTGGGAAGGTAAATGCCACTGAAGTTTGGCTGTCTCTGGCCAGATTCTTCTCAGAAGTTATGCTGTCAGACTGTCCCTCTGAAGTCAAGCCACTTCTCTCTGACATCCAGCTGTAGTCTCCAATGTCCAGCTGCTTCTCCTCTCTCTGCTGGCTGAGGCTGGGGCTTTTATGGGCACAGGAATGGGGGGCAGAGCAGGCCATGGGTGGTTTTGGAAAAGGCAACATTTGAACAGGAAATCAGGGATGTAAGTTCTCACTTTGGGCCACCGCATCAGGCTTTTCAGCTTGAGGGTGCAGCCCTCACTGGGGACCCATCCTCTTCTGCCCAGAATTTCCCTGCCTCTTGTCCCTATCACTTTGAAGCACAAAAGGTTTTAATTAGGTGAAATCCAGTTTACCTGTGTTTTATTTTCTTACTTGTGTATTTTATATCTAAGAAATCATTGCCTAATCCAACATCACAAAGATTTACTCCAAAAAATTTTGTAGCATTAGCTCTTATATTTAGATATTTGACCCATTTTGAGTTCATTTTTGTACGATAGAAAGCAGAGATTCAACTTCATTCTTTTACATGTGGATATTCAGTTGTTACGACATCATTTACTGGAAAGACTACTTTTCCCCCACCAAATTGTTTTGAAACTCTTTTTGAAATCAACAGACCATAAATGTATGGGATTATTTTTAGACACTTGATTATACTGCAATGATCTAGCTGTTGAGCTTTATATCAGCATAACTCTTGATTACTGAAGCTTTGCACTGAGTTTACCATGTTAACAGTTTTAAGCATTCAGTTCAGTACTGTTTCACATTAGTATATTCACACTGTTGTGGAACAGAATTCCAAAACTTTTTCACCTCACTAATCTCAAACTCTATACCCATTAAAGAGCTCCTCTTTTCCCCTTCATGCCAGCCACTTGTAACCAACGTTCTACTTTCTGTTTATATGAATTTAACAACTTTACTTACCTCAAACAAATGGAATCATATTTTTTCTTTTTGTGACTGGCTTATTTCACTTAGCATAATGTCCTCAAGGTTCATCCATGTTGTAGCATGTGACAGGATTTCTTTCCTTTTTAAGGCTGAACGATTTTCCATTTTATGTAGAGACAACATTTTATTTATACATAAATCTGTGGATGAACATTTGGTCTGCTTCTACTTCTTGGTTAATGTGAAAAGTGTGGCTACGAACATGGGTGGGCAAGTATCTCTTCAAAATCCAGCTTTAAACTTTTTATATATATACGTGCAGAAATGAGATTGGTGTATCACATGATAGTTATATTTCTCATTTTTTTGTGGACCCTCCAAGCTATTTTCCACAGTGATTGCACCATTTTACAATTCCTACAACAGTACGTTTCCAATTTGTCTACATCCTTGCCAAAAATAGTTTCTATTTTTTTTGATAGCAATGATCGTAGTGGGTATCAGGTGATACCCAACTGTAGTTTTTATTTGCATTTCTAGATTAGAGAATGTTGAGTATGTTTTCATATGCTTGTGAACACTTCTTTTATTCTTTTTTTGAAATGGAGTTTTGCTCTCGTGGCCCAGGCTGGAGTGCAGTGGCACAATCTCTGGTCACTGTGACCTCCGCCTCCCAAGTTCAAGTGTTTCTCCTGACTCGGCCTCCCAAGTAGCTGGGATTACAGGTGCCCACCATCATGCCCGGCTAATTTTTTGTATTTTTAGTAGAGATGGGGTTTTACCATGTTGCACAGGCTGGTCTCGAACCCTTGACCTCAGGTGATCTGCCCACCTTGGCCTTCCAAAGTGCTGGGATTACAGGCATGAGCCACTGCGCCCGGCCCTTGTGAACATTTCTAGACCATCTTTGGATAAATATCTATTAAAGTATTTTTCCCCTTTTAAAATCAGGATATTTGATTTTTAGATGTGGAAATATAGGAGTTCTTTACACAGTCCGATATTAACTCCTTATAGGTATATGATTTGTAAATATTTTATTCTATTCTGTAGGTTGCCTTTACACACCCCTTTGTTTTTAAGGCACAAACGTTTCAGTTTGATGTAGTCCCATTTTTGTTTTTGTTGCCTGTGCTTTTGGTGTCACAGTGAAGAAATTGCCGGCACATACAATAACGTGATGTTTTTCCCCTATGTTTTTTCTCAGGATTTTATAGTTTCAGGATTACATTTAGGTCTTTAAAACATTGAGATAATTTTTATACACTGTGTGATATAAGGGTCCTACTTCTCTTTTTTTTGCATGAAGATACTGTATTCACACTACCATTTTTTAAAAAGTCTGACATTTCCCCAATGAGTGGTCTTAGCACTCTTGTTGAAGATTTGAGGATTTGTGCACTCTATTCTATTCCATTAGCCTGTCCTTATGCCAGTTCCACACTATTTTGACTACTGTAGCTTTGTAATATGTTTAAAATAACATACGAGTACTCTAACTCTGTTCTTTTTCAAAACTGTTATGATTATTTGGGGTACCTTGAACTCTCATATGATTTTTAGAACATTTTCCATCTCTGGGATAAATGTTATTGAGATTTTGATAGTAATCGTGTTGAATCTGTAGATTACTTTGTATAGTATAATATATAAAAAAATTAAGTCTTCCAGTCCATGAACATGAAATATTTTCCCTTTTATTTGCATCTTATTATTCTGCAGCATGGTTTGATAAGTTTTGAAATGGAGAAATCAGGAGTCCTCCAATTTTTTGCCTCTTTTTCTATATTTTGACTATTCTGGGCCCTTTCCATTTCCACATAAATTTCAGGATTTGTCTGTCCATTTCTTTACATACATATACAAAGTGAACTTGGATTTTCACAGTGATTCTGTGGAATCTGAAGATCAGTTTGGAGAGTACTTCAGTCTTAACAATAAAGTTCCAATACATGACTATAAAAGATCTTTCCACTTTTACAGTTCCTTTCTTCAGTATTTTGTAGTTTCACTTGAACTTATTTTGTTAAATTTATTCTCTAATATCTTGATTTTTTGATGCTACTGTAAAATTATTTCACTTTTAATGTTCATTGCTAGTATATAGCAATGCAATTGTTTTGCAAATGCTCAACTTGTATTTTGCAGCCTTGCTGAACGTCTTTAGTCCTAATAGGTTTTTTCTTTTGTATAGTCCTGAAGATCCTCTACACACAAGATCAGTTCTCCCATACAGATTCCTTTAGTTATTCCTTTAATTTTGTTTTAAAGACACAAAATATTTTATTATGCTACATATAAACAGAGTTTTTAAAAACTGAAACATAATAGCTACATATATTTTTAGAGTACATGTGATATCTTGATATATGTATATATCGTATAATGATCAGAACAGGGCAAAAGAGACATCCATCTCCCCAAAAATTCACCCCTTCTTTGTGTTGGGAACATTTCAATTGCTCTCCACCAGTTATTTTAAGATATACAAATTATTGTTAACTATAGTCACTCTACTGCAGTACTGAACAATACATCGTGTTCCTTCTAACTGTATTTTTGTGCCCATTAACCTAACACCTTTTTTTTTCCTCCAGTTTGAATTTTGACTCAGCAATGTTCATGCCTAGACCTCTTACTTCTGTCGTTGGTACAGCCTGTTCCTGCTGCTGCTGCTTCTTGGTCTTCAGGTTCTCCCTATGCTTGTTCAGCCAGTGGCACATGATACAAGTATTCTTGGGCCACAGATCTGGGGGCTAGTATTTCTTGCCCTTGTAGAACTTCCTGAGGTTTGTTTTCTGAGTTTGGCTAATGACGGTGAGAACACAGGCAACAGATTTGGAAATGACTACAATCTAAGAGAACTGGAATGTCGGGCACCTGTCACTTCGGCGACATACATCTGGGACAGGTCTACCTTCAGGTTGTCCAGCTGTCTTAGCAGCTCCTCTTCCTTCTTGCCTCAAAGATCCTGAGCCTTAATCTTGGCTACGGCTGCAAAAGCCACCACCGCTGCCAAATGCCCCGAGGGAAAGAGAAAAGTGCCCATTAATCAACCTTTCAAAACCCTTTCTAAATCCCCTGTGCCCCTCCTCCTCCTACCTTCTGGTAACCACCAATCTACTCTCTACCTTCATGAAATCTACTTTTTAAGCCCCCCCAAGTTTGAGAAAGAACATGTGGTATTTGTCGCTCTGTGCCAGTTTACTTCACTTAACATAATGACCTCTGTGTTCCATCCACATTGCTACCAATAACATAATTTCATCATTTTCTATGGCCGAGTAATATTCCACTTATATTTATGTACCACATTTTCTATATCCATTCATCTATAAATTAACATTTAGGTGAATTCCATATCTTGGCTAACGTGAATAGTACTACAATAAACATGGGAGTGCAGACATTTCTTGAATATACTGACTTCGTTTCTTTTAAATATATACCAAGCAGTGGGAATGGAGAGTCATATGGTAGTTCTATAGTTTTTCAATGAGCATTCACACTCTTTTTCATACTGTCTTTTTCAGAGAGTGTATGAGTTTCCCTTTCTTTTCATTCTGGCCAGCACTCATTGTTTATTGTCTTTTTGATAAAAACCATTTTAACTCGGGTAAAATGATATCTCCTGTGGTTTTGATTTGCATTTCCCTGTAACACTGAACATCTATTCATGTATCTGTTGGCCATTTCTATGTCTTCTTTTGAGAAATACCTATTCAATCAAAAATTTTGCCCATTTTAAAATCGAGTTATTTGACCATTTGCTGTTGAGTTACTTATATATTCTGGTTATTAATCCCTTTTCAAATGGATAGCTCAAAAATATCTTCTACCATTCTGTAGCTTGTATCTTCACTTTGTTGATTATTTCCTTTACTGGGCAGAAGGGTTTTAGCTTGATGGGACACCACATCTAAATATTTTAGCATTTGTTGCTCATAATTTAGAGGTCTTCCCCTCCCCCGCCGACCCCCTGCAAAATCTTTACTCATCCCACCATTGTAGTGTTTCCCCAATCTTTTCTTCTAGTAGTTTCATATTTTTAGTTCTTACATTTAACTCTTTAATCCAAGTTGAGGTGATTTTTGTAAATTGTGAAAGTTAAGAGTCTAGTTTGATTCTTCTTCATAAGCATATCCAGTTTTCTGAGCACCATTTATTGAAGAAACTCCCCATTCCTCAAAGTATGTTCTTGGAGCCTTTGTCAAAACTAAGTTGGCTATAAATGCATGGATTTCTAGGTTTCTCTATTCTGTTCCACTGACCAATGTGTCTATTTCCATGCCAGTACCATACTATATTGGTTACCATGGCTCTCTCTCTCTCTCTATATATATATAATGTATAAATATATATATAATGTATAAATATATATAGTATAAAATATATATAAACTATATAAATATATATAGTATAAAAATATATATATCTAAATATATGTATATATATAATTTTTTTTTTTTGTTTTTGAGACGGAGTCTCGATCTCTTGCCCAGGCTGGAGTGCAGTGGCACAACCTCGGCTGACTGCAACCTATACCTCCTAGGTTCAAGTGATTCGTCTGCCTCAGCTTCCCGAGTTGCTGGGACTACAGGCCACCACACCTGGCTACTTTTTCTATTTTTAGTAGAGACAGGGTTTCACCATATTGGCCAGGCTGGTCTCGAACTTCTGACCTCGTGATCTGCTAGCTTTGGCCTCCTCAAGTGCTAGGATTGCAGGTGTGAGTCACCGCATCTGGCCTGGTTCTTCTTTAAATGTCTGACAGAACTGAGCAGTGAAACTGTCAGATCATGAGCTTCCCTTTGATGGGAGACCATTTTATTAGTGCTTTGATCTCGTTACTCATTACTGGTCTGTTCAAGTTTTTTCTTTCTTCAAAGTTCCCGATGAACTTCGTGGTTCTTGAATCTTCTTGGTAGTTTGTATGTTTCTAAAAATACCTCCACTTCTCGTTTTTCCAAGTAGTTGGGGAATACTTCTTCATAAGAGTCTCTAATGATTTTGTGTTTCTTTGTATTTCTGCGGTATCAGTAGTTATGTCTCTTTTTTTGTTTCTGATTTTATTGATTTTGGTCTTTTTTCTTAGACTAGCAAAAAGTTTGTCAATTTTGCCTTTTGTTTTTTTGAGACGGAGTCTACCTCTATTGCCCAGACTGGAGTGCAGTGGAACGATCTTGGCTCACTGAAACCTCTGCCTCCTGGGTTCAAGCAATTCTTGTGCCTCAGCCTCCCGTGTAGCTGGGACTACAGGCATGCACCACCACGCCCAGCTAATTTTTCTATTTTTAGTAGAGACAGGGTTTCACCATGTTGGCCAGGATGGTCTCGATCTCCTGACCTCCTGATCCACCCACCTCGGCCTCCCAAAGTGCTGGGATTACAAGTGTGAGCCACTGTGCCTTGCCAATTTTGCCAATGTTTTAAAAAACCCAACTTTTCATTTCTGTTGACCTTTTAAATTGTTTCTTAAAATCTGAACTTCACTTTTTATGCTCTGACCTTTATTGTTTCCTTCCACTAATGTTGAGTTTTTTTCCCATGCTTTTCTAGTTCTTTACAGTGTTTCATTAGATTGTTTATCTGAAATCTAAGTTTAAGAAAACATTAACACATAATAACTATACATATTTATGGGGTACATGTGATATTTTGAAATATGCATGTAATGTGTAATAATCAAATCAGGATATTTTGGATACCCATCACTTCAAACATTTACTACATCTCTGTGTTGGGATCATTTCAAATCTTCCAGCTATTTTGAAATATTCAACAATTATAAACTATATTCATCCTCCGGTGCTATGAAAGAATAGGACTTATTCCTTCTAACTATATGTTTCCATTCGCCTCCCTTTAATCCCACCACCACCACTATCCACAGCCTCTGGTAAATATCATTTTACTCTCTATGTCCATGATATCAACTTTTTAAACTCCCTCATGAGGGAGAGCATACAATATGTGTCTTTCAATGCCTGACTTACTTCACTCAATATAATGAAATGTAATTTTATCCACGTTACCGTAAATGCCAAGATTTCATTTTAATGGAAGAGTAATATTCTATTATGTATATATGTTACATTTTCTTTGTGTATTCATAAGTTGATGGACACAGATTAATTCCATATCTTGGCTATCAAGAATAGTACTGTAGTAAGTACAGGGATGCCCTATAACTCTGACATTAATTTCCTTCCATTTGGATAAAAACATAGTAGTGGGGTTGCTGGATCGAATGAAATTACTCCTGGGTTAAATTTATTCCCAGGTTTTTTCTTTTGTAGCTGTTATAAATGGGATTACTTTCCTGATTTCTTTTTCAACTAGTTCATTATTAGAGAATAGACACACTGCTGAGTTGTGTACACTGATTTTTTACCTTGAAACTTTACTGAGTTCATCTATCAGATCTAAGAGTTTCAGGTAGAGTCTTTAGGTTCTTCTATATATAAGATCATGTTATCTGAAGAAAGGACAATTTGAATTCCCCTTTTCAAACGTGGATGCATTTCTTTTGCCTGGTTACTCTGGCTAGGACTTCCAGTACTATATTGAATATGAGTGGTGAAGGTGAGCATCCTTATCTTGTTTTAGTTCTTAGAAGAAAGGATTTCAGTTCTGCCTCAGTATGTAGTTAGCTGCAGCTTTGTCATACATGGCGTTTACTATGATGTGTTCTTTCTATGTCTAATTTATTGAGTTTTTTTATTATGAAGGGATGTTGAATTTTATGAAACCCTTTTTTTGCATTTGAGATGCAAAAATATATAATTATATTAAAAATATAATTTTTGACCTTTTTGTGACGTATCATGTTTATTGATTTACATATAATAAACCATCCTACCATCCCTGGAATAAAACCCACTTGATCATCGTGAATGATCTTTTTATTGATTTGTTAGATTTGGTGTGCTGGTATTTTGCTGAGGAATTTTGCATCTAAGTTCGTCAGGAATACTGGCCTATAGTGTTTTCTTATTGTATCCTTATCTGGTTCTGGCATCAAGGTAATTCTGGCCTCATGGAACAAGCTAGGAAAAAATCCCTCCTCTCCAATTTTTCGGAATAGTTTGAGGAGAACTGATGTTAGATCTTCTTTGTAAGTTTGTAGCATTCAGCAGTAAAAATCTCCTGGGCTCAAGCTTTTCTCTGTTAGAAGACATTTTATTACTGAATCAGTTTCATTACTCATTATTGATCTGTTCAGGTGTTCTATTTCTTCATGGCCAAATATTGGTAGTTTCCTCATGTCCAGGAATGAATCTGTTTCCCGTAGGTTCCAATTTGTTCAGACAGTTGTTCACGATAGTCTCTAACAATCTTCTATTTTTGTGGGATATAAGTTTTACTGTCTCCTTTTTTGGTTGGGATTTTATTTGTGTCTTCTTTTTTAATCTTGGTTAGTCTATCCAGCAATTTATGAATGTTGTTTATTCTCTCAAAAAAAAAACCCAACTCTTCATTTCACTGATCCTCTGTATAGCCTTTTTTTCACCTCTAATTTAGTTCTGCTCTGACTTTATTATTTCCTGCTGTTAATTTTGTATCTGGTTTGTTCTTGCTTTTCTAGTTCCTTGAGGTGCATCAATAGGTTCTTTAAAATCTTTCTACTTTCTTCATGTAAGTATTTGTTGCTATTAAACATCCTTTTATCATGGCTTTTGCTGTATCCCACATATTTTGATATGTTGTGTTCCCATTTTGATTTGTTTCAAGAAACTTTTTGTTTCTTATTTCTCCTTAAATCCAGTGATGGCTCATAATTGTGGCTTAATTTCCTTGTATTTGTACAATTTCCAAAGTTCTCATTGTTGATTTCTAGTTTTATTCCATCGTGGTCTGAGAAGATACGTGATATTATTTCTATTTTTTTAATCGTTGAGACTACTTTTGTTGTATAACAAATAGTCTAGCCTCAAGAATGTCCCATGTGATAAGAATACTTGTTCTGTAGCTGTTGGACAATATGTTCTGTAAATGTCTATCAAGCGCATTTGATCTAAAACGAAGTTTAAATCCAATACCTCTTTGTTGATGACTTGGCTAGATGATCAGTCCAAGGCTGAGAGTCAGTTGTTGAAGACACCTAATCTGATTTTATTGGACTCAGTCTCTCCCTTTAGATTCAATAATGTTTGCTTTCTATATCTGCATGCTCCAGTGTTGGGCGCACAAATATTTAGAATTGTTTAATCTTCTTGCTGAAATGGTCCCTCTACCATTATAGAATTACCTTCTTTGCCGCTTTTTGGCTTAAAGTCTATTTTATCTGATACTAGTGTAGCTACTCATGCTTGCTTTTGGTTTCTGTTTGCATGGATTATCTTTTTCCATCCCTTCACTTTGAGTCTACGTGTCTTTACCAGTAAAGTCAGTTTTTTATAGGCAGTATATAGTTAAGTCATTTTTTTTTTGTTTTTCTATTCAGCCAATCTATATTTTTTAAGGGGGGAATTTAAACTGTTTACATTCAAGGTTATTATTCAGTACTTAATTCCTGTCATTTTGTGAATTATTTTTTGGTTTTGTGTATCCTCTCATCCTGTTCTCCTCTTATCATTGTGGTTTGCTGGTTTTCTGTAGTAGTAACACTTGCCTCCTCTATTTATTTATTTATTTTTTTGTGAGACCGACACTCACTCTGTTGCCCAGGCTGGAGTGTGCAGTGGTGCGACCTTGGCTCACTGTAAGCTCTGCGTCTTGGGTTCACGCCATTCTCCTACCTCAGCCTCCTGAGTAGCTGGGACTACAGGTGCCTGCCACCAAGCCTGGCTAATTTTTTTGTATTTTTAGTAGAGACGGGGTTTCACTGTGTTAGCCAGGATGGTCTCAATCTCCTGACCTCATGATCCGCCTGCCTTGGCCTCCCAAAGTGCTGGTATTACAGGCGTGAGCCACCGCGCCTGGCCCAGAGTTTTATACTTTTATGTGTTTTGATTATGACAGATATTGTCCTTTATCTTCTAAATGCAGGGCTCCCTTGACCTCTTCTTGTAGGGCCAGTAGAGTGGTGATTAACTTCAATTTTTCCTTGCTTTGGAAAGCATTTATTCTCCTTCATTTTTTATATCTTCCCCAGGTATAATATTTTTGGCTGACAGTTGTGTTTTTTTGTTTGTTCTGCTTTTCACCACTTTGGAGTTATCATTTCATTTACTCCTGGACTGCAGTGGCCAAAGTAATTCCATCCACCACGTTGATTTCTTATTAACCCCAGTTCCAAGAAGGCCTCTAAGATTTCCAGTTTATTTTTACTTAAGAGCATGTACTTACCATAAATCCCATTCCTAGGTCAAAACAATGTAAATGTTATTGTACTTGCTATAATCAATGCCCTTAAGCAGTTATCCTACACAGCCCTTCTGATGCATGCATATCCTTTTTCTATGGCATATAAGCCCTAGGTCTTGGGAGTAAAGGCACAGGGATCCACCATCTTTGTCTCTTGAAGTACCTCCCAAGACACAATCCCTATTAAATGTTCCTAAGTCCCTATTAAATGTTTCTAAGAAACTGAATTTGTCAGCCTCTTTCTTTGGCCTCTCATATTCCTTGAACTTTGGGGGTAGGGTTGTATAGACTTTTCCACCGTGGAACATGGCCTGGAAGGTTTCTGCTAAGAAATTTGCTATTAGTGTGATAGGGATACTCTTCTCTGTGACTTGACCCCTTTGCTGTATTTAGAATTCTCTTTTTCTTGGACTTTTAACAGTTCGACTATGAAGTGGCATGGAGAAGGCCTTTCAGGGTAGAATATATTTGAAGATCTTCGAGCTTCCTATATCTAGATGTCTGTATCTCTTCCAAGACTTGAGAAGTTTTTACCTATTATTTCGTTAAATGGGTTTTCTATGCCATTACCCATCTGTTCTCTTCCAGGAAAACTGAAAATTCCACTATTTCGTCATTGTATGTGTTACATAAGCTTTCTTCGTTTTTATTTTTTTTAAAAATGTTATCTGCTCAGGTTATTTCAAAAGACCTGTCTTCAAGTTTACAAATTCTTCTGCTTGATCTAGAGTCTGTTATTGAAACTGATGATTATATTTTTTATTTTACTCTTTGAATTCTTCAGTTTCAGGATTTCTATTTAACTTCTTTCTGACATCTTTGTTGAATTTCTCATACAGATGGTGAAATGTTTCTTTGCATTGTTCATCTGTTTTCTGTAGTACCTGGGTTTTCAGAAATATTTTGAATTCATTTTCAGGTATTTCATAGATTTTTTTTAATATTGGCATCTGTTGCTGGAGAATTATTGTGTTCCTTTGATGGTTTCATGCTTCCTTGATTTCTCATGTTTCTTGTGTCCTTACATTTATATCTATGCATCTGGTGTAACATTTGCTTCATCCAACTCTATGGATTGGGTTTCGAAGGGAAAGACATTTTTTTCTATAGAGCTATCTATAGAGTTGTTTGGGTAAGGCGTTTTGGCTTTGATTCTGGGTGGGAGAAGCAGTGCAGTCTCCATATGACTTCTTTGACTATCTTTAGCATCAGTGGTGTCTATGAGTTCCTCAGTGGATAAAGCTGTGGCTTTTAGTAACGGCTGTAGTGAGGCTTTGCTAGTGAAAGGGACATCAGGCAGGCCAGTTCTTAGGCAACAGTGATGGCAACTCTGGGATGGATATGCAGGATCTCGGTCAACACACGTGGATATTGGTAAAAGCAGGTCAGGAGGACGAATCCTTGGTCTTCAAGTGGATTGTCTGTGTGCTAGCAGTGGCAACAATGGGCTGAGTGAATGGGTCCTCAGGCCCTTAGATGGTATGCATAATGTCTGCGGCTGCAACAGCAGCAGAGGGCTAACTTGGGGCCCCAAGCTACAGCTTTGGGTGCCAGCAGTTAGGGGTACAAAGGGCCTAGTGGCCATCACCGAGCATCCAAGTGGCACGCAGCTGGGTGGCACATGGCCGTAGGCAGGGCAGTGGCAGTCTCACTTGGTCATGCTATATAATCCTTTTTATATTTTGTTGAATTAGGTTTGTTTTAGAATGCAAGAAATATTCATAAGGGATATCTTTATCATGACTTGTCTCATTTTGGTATCAGGGTAATAGTGCTCTCATAGAATTACTTAAAAAGTGTTACTCTTTTTTTCTGAAGGGTGTAAAAAAACTGATGTTAAAACTTCTTTAAATGTCGATGCAATTCACAAGTAAAGCCATTTGATCTTAGGCTTTTCTTTGTAGGAAGTTTTCTGATTACTAAACTCTTCACTTGCTAAGGATCTATTCAGGTTTTGTTTCCTTTTGAGTTTCAGTAGTTTTTATCTTTCTAAGAATTTGTTCATTTCATCTAGGTTATCTAGCTGTTGACAATATTCACTTACAGTAGTTACTTCCATAAGGCCAATAGTAATGCCCTCTTCATTACTGATTTTAGTAATTTGAGAGTTCTTTTACTCATGGTCAGTCTAATTCAACTTTTGTCAGTTGTTGATCTTTTCAAAAAACAAGCTTCTGATTTCATTGCTTTTTCTCTATTACTCTTCTATTCTCTGTTTAATTCATCTTTGCTCTGATTATTCTTTCCCTTCTTTGGACTGAGTTTGCTTTTGTTTCTTTCATTAGGTTAGACTGTAAATTTGACATTTTTCTAAAATACAGCAATTTAGAGCAATAATTTGCAATTTGGCAATTCATCAGCTGTATACCATAAGTTTTTTATGTTGTATTTTCATTTTGCTTTTTTTGTTGTTGTTGAGACGTAGTCTTGCTCTGTTGCCCAGGCTGGAGTGCAGTGGCACAATCTCAGCTCACTGCAACCTCCGTCTCCTGGGTCAAGTGATTCTCTCACATCAGCCACTCGAGTAACTGGGATGATAGGTGCATGCCACCATGCCTGGCAAATTTTTTGTATTCTGAAGTAGAGATGGCATTTCACCATGTTGGCCAGGCTGGTCTCGAACTCCTGACCTCAAAGTGATTTGCCTGCCTCGGCCTCCCAGACTGCTGGCATGAGCCACTGCAACCGGCCAACATATTTTTATTTTCATCACTATCTTTTAGTTCCTCTTGTAAATTTTTTTTGGACCTATTGGTTATTTAGGAGTATATTGTATGACTACATAAATGTCCTTTAATTGATTTCTAATATCATTCTATTATGTCCAGAAACATGTTTTGTATGTTTTCAATCCCTTTTTGCGAATTTTGTCCTATCCTTGAGCATTTTTCATGTACACTTTAAAGATTACTCTCCTGTCATCAGGTATCTGTTAGATCTAGTTGGTTTTTATGTTGTTCAAGTCTATTTCCTTGTTGATATCGTGCGTGGTGATTCTAAGCATTATTTAATATACGGTGCTAATTTCTCAATAAAACAATTTCTCCCTCCAATTCTGTCCATTGTTCTTTCACGGCTTATTATGTGTTCAGAAGGAATAAGACTTTTTCCCTACACTCATACACCACTCAACACAATAGTCACTGAAGTATGTGGGGGTTTCTCCACATTCACAACCAATTCTCCAGGAGACACCAGTTGGGTGTTTTATAATTCAATTATAATACTATGTATCTGCTGATTTCATGAGCTCATACAGGTTAAGGGCTCAGCCCTACAAGATCACCCCAAGTTTCGGGTGTCAATTGGTAGCAGTGGGTTGTCAGTTATACTTCTGACCAATCAGCTATAAATGGGGGTTTGCAGGATCATCTATCTGGGTTTAATTTACTAGGAGGGCTCACAGAACTCAGGGAAACATTTATCCCTTTAATATCAAAGATATTGCAAAGGATATAGATAAACAGTGAGATAAAGAGATACACAGAGTGAGGTCTGAAAAGGTCCTAAGTGTTGGGGCTTCTGTCCCTGTGATGTTGGGATGCCCACCTTCCAAGCACATAGATGTACTTGCCAACCTCAAAGCTCTCCAAACCCCATACTTTGGGTTTTTACAGAGGCTTTATAACACAGACATGGCTGATTAAATCAATGGTCAGTGGTATTAACTAAACCTTCACCCTATTCTTGCTCCCTGGAGGTGGGGTGTGTGCGGAAGGAGGGGAGGCTGAAAATTCCAACCCTCTAATCACATGGTTATTTCCCCTAACAACCTGTCCCCTTGCTGAGCTTATCTAGGAGCTCACCAAGGCTTGCCTCATTAGAATAAACAATGCTCCTATCATTCATCCAAGGCATCTAGGAACCCTGTGTCAGAACTGCTGTCACTCAGGAGGTCCATTTCAAGAACCAGGAGCAGAGACCAAATCTGTATTTCTTATTTGTCATAGTATCACTGGGGCTTATATTGATTGGAAGTGTTTTATCACCTTGATGAAATGACCCTTATTATAAAATGTTCTTCCTTGTTTCTAGGAAAAAATATCTTACCTAGACCTTCTGGATAGCTTGCCTCAGATTCTACATTAGCACTTGCTGCTCCACCAAGCATTTTAGGTTATGAAGACACTTTCTTTCCTAAAACTTCATGAACCAAGTTCTCCTAGCTTCCAACTTTTCTTCTGCAGCTTCCTCACCTCTCTCGACCTTCATAGAATTGAAGAGACTCAGGGCCTTGCTCTGGATTAGGTTTTGGTGTAAGGGAATACTGTGGCTGGTTGGATACCCTATCTACACCACCAAAACTTGCTCTGTATCAGTAATAAGGCTGTTTTGCTTTCTTATTCTTGTGATCACCGGAATGGCACTTTTAATTTCCTTCAAGAACTTTTCCTTTACATTACAACTTTATTAACTGTCTGGTGCAAGAGGCCTAGCTTCTGGCCTATCTCAGCCTCACTAAACTTAATCATTTCTAGGTTTTGATTCAAAGCGAGACGTATGAAACTCTTCCTTTCACTTGAACACTTAGAGGCCATTCTAAGGCTATTAATTGGCCTAATTTCAATACTGTTGTGTCTCAGGGAATAGGGAGGCCTGAGGAGACAGAGATGGGGGAATGGCCAGCCTTTGGCGCAGTCAAAACATATATATTTATCAATTAAGTCTGCTGTCTTATATGGGAATGGTTCATTGAAAAATGGCACTGATAAGACTCGCTTGACGCAGGGTTCCATCAACCTTCACTTTGTTAGGAAAAATGTTCAGTGACTGCAAAGTGTAATAAAGCAAAGGACAATAAAATGAGATACGCCTATACTTAAACTTACAATAAAAAGTTTCCCTGTGGTCCCAGCTGCTCGGGAGGCTGAGGCAGGAGAATGACGTGAACCCGGGAGGTGGAGCTTGCAGTGAGTCGAGATTGCGCCACTGCACTCCAGCCTGGGTGACACAGCGAGACTCCGTTTCAAACAAAAAGTTTTCCAATTTAAACTTGAAGAAGAGATACTATTTAAAAAAAATTCTTTTGGGAGATTCATGAACAAGATATTTAAAGGCTACAGAGTCAAAAGTGTTTTTTCAGGACACCATTAATTTCTACTTTAAGGAATTATTAAAAACATCATTTAAGTAATAATTGTCATAATTCATAACATTTTAAAACAGTAAAGTCTATGAAGCTATTTTGGTCTATGAAATCATACCTCATCCTAAATTCAGATTTACTTTAACTGCTTATTTGGCAGTGCCTTCTGTCCAATTTCAACAGTGACCATACCATTATCTATGTCAGCACAAAGATACCAATTTGACTCACGTGGACTTTGAAACAGCCATTAGGAAAAATAGCAGTTAGGTGGGCAAGATGGATATATAGATTCAGACCAACAAAAGCCAATTCAAATACTTGGAGTCCTACGCAGTAAGCAAGTATTAGTACAATCATCCAATAGACTGTACCTTAATTTTCTTTACTGGTTCAGAGAATAAAGATAATGTGGTTTTCTATGTGTTAAAAATGTCCAACAACTTCTCGAATGCTTGACTAGCTGAAGTTGCTTTTATCTGTTGATTGTACTCCTCTGACTCACTGATCATTCTTCTAGGCAAGAATTATTAGGAACAAAAGGTGAGGAGTCAGATCAGTCCATTTTGCTGCTTACTGGCACATATTTAAACACATTCCTTCCACTCAGGCGTTTATACCATTTCCAAAGGGAATAAAAGTAAAATGAAGTCTTTGTCATCAAGAAATACTCCTCACGATGTCTGGATTTTTTTCTCCTTGTCATGTACCAGGCTGTCTCAATTATTTTAAAATACTATTATTCAGGCAAACACTACTCAACGAATAAAGCAAATTCTAATCAGTGATTTTGTGGCTCAAGGCTTCATAAGTATCCAAGAGAAGCTCATACACTATCACAGTTCCATTCATTTTCTTCCCAAATTAGTTTTGGATAACTTTGCATAAAAGTAGTTCTGCTCTGAAACAAATGTTGACCAGTTGCATGCCAATAAAGTACTTTAATAATACTTTTTCATATTTTAAATTTCTTCCCATTAAATCAATAAAGCATGGAGATTTGAAAATGCCTCCTGATGCATTGAGAGGTACAGAAATGGTACCTTGAAATCAATATATTTTCTATCAAAACAGATGCAACTAAAGATGAAGCTCTGGATCATTACCTTTAAAATCAGTAGGCATTTTAATCAAACTTAAAAAATATCAAATAACAAAATAGATGACAAAGTGGAAAGTTTAAAAAAAAATTCTATTTGGAACCCCAAAATTCCAGGCAGGCCCAATTCTTAAATATTTGGCTAATCAAGGTATCATCCTTTATGGGAGCAAATATTAATCAAAAGTCAAAATACTCTCTATATCGGAGGCCTACGTCATCCCGCAACAATTTAAGGCTACTCTCTGCAGCGACAATATTACCATTTTCAAATGCTTTCTTATGATAAAAAGATGTTTTCTCTGTTTGTGTTCGTTTAAAGATACATTAAATGCCCTTTAGAGCAAAGTTCCTTGATAAATTTATCATTTCTGGAAGAACTTATCCTCAATATGTTTAATACATTCCCATAAACAATTTTTAGTAAAGAATTTGGGGAAACAAGTGTCCAAGCTCTAGCAGGTTTCGTGAACTAAGGGCAAGACTCCAAAACAGACAAATTCTGTAAATTTCTGTAAAGGACCAGAGAGTAAATATTTTAGGCTTTGCAAGTCATATATTCTGTTACAGTTATTCAACACTATAATTGGTGTGAAGATGTAAACAACTGGGTTTGGCTATTTACGATAACACTGATTTACAGAAACAAGCCCCAGATGGATTTTGCCTATGAGTCATAACTTGTCTACCCCTTGTCTTAAAGAAAACCAGAAGGAAGTGGTATTGGTACTGAGGACAACATCGTGAGCGAGCAAGCAAACAGGTTAGGCATCCTGATGTATTCTATTCTCCAAATGCAGGTTTTCGCTTTGTTAAAATAAAGGGCACTTTCCCCTGACCATAACAGAGAAGCAGCTCCCAACTTCTGTTGCAATAACGAGAGCAAAGGGGAAAATGAAGATGGAGAATTTCATTCATATCAGGAGCAGCCAGAAACCGTATACAAGCTTCGGCACCAAACTCAGCAAGCGGGTGACCAAATCTTTGAGCGTGCCATCCCTGGCAATCTGGGGAATGTAACCTACAAAGCTCTGACCATCGCCTAACTTAAAATCAGCCCTAGGAGAGCTGCGAATAGGGCAGCTGTGTCAATCAGGTATTCACTAGGAAAGCTGACAACAGCATATACTCTGATTCAGAGGTTGAAGAATTAAGCATAATGATTCTAAAATTCTTCATTTTTGATAGTGTCAGGTCTGGAAGCTTTGCGGAAAACGTGCTTTTGGAGAAACTAAAAGCCCTCATCATCCATTGGTAAAATCTGGCTTCATAAATCTCAGGATATTAAAAACACAGCAGGCATACTCTCCCATATGACAATTCCACCTCCTCCAACATGTTACAATAAATGGTGGAAAGGCATACTACTGATTTGGTAATTACTTCAGTTATGTGGCTCTGCTGAAAGCTCCTGTTTTGCTTTTATTTTGCATGCTTTGCTATCAAATAAGTTTGATTATGTCATGCTGCCCTCAGGTGTCCATTCCTTTTTAAATGTATGACTGGGGGGCAAAGGAGGACCCTTTGTAAATTTTAAAACCAGGACTACAGTGGATATTCAATGTGCTCTCTCACAAACCCTAATCACAGAGCTCATTTAAGTGCTAAAAGCTCAACATTTAGGAATATCTGATATGTCACTGGGACTTCTCCCACCTGTCCTATAATATCCTGCCTTTGAAAAAGGAATCAGAGTGGTAAAAAGAAAAAAAGGAACTAAAAATAGTACCACAGCACAGTGGTTCTCAAAGCGTTTCAGAGATACTGTTCCAGATGTCCATGAGGTCAACCCTATTTTTATAGTAACACTAAAAACATTTTTTTCATTCTCTCAAATATACAGTAGAGTTTTCTAGAAGATGCATGACTTCTGATACACTGCAACCGACTATAAACACAAACAGATATGAGAATCTAGCCATCTTTTACTAAGCCAAATATAAAAAGACTAGCAACAATTTTAAGTGCTATTCTTTAATATATTTCTCACTTAGGAAAGTATGACTATTATTCATAAATGTGTTATTCACTTAATGGGTTTTTAATGATTTAATGCAATTTAAAAATCTTATCAGTTTCAGTTCCAGATAAATATTAATATGTAAACAAAAGATTTTGGGGCTTCTCAAAAATTTTAAGAGTATAAAGCTATCCTGGGACCAAAAAGTTTTAGAATACTGAAATATCAGACTTCTATTGATATTTCATGGAAAGCACTTCCCCTAAAATTTGAAAAGATAAACACACCTAACTCACTGTCAAATTACAAGGACTAACCAAACAATTTTTAACTTGATTGCTGTAGCAGGACTGGCATTAAAGTAAGCAACAGGATTGGAAACAAGAGTCAGGGGTTTCAGCCACCATCATCCTCATTCCTCCCTCCTTCCTCCACAATCAATTTGCAGAAAGTAAGAAAGAGCGAAACTGACTTAGAATTTGACCTGCTTTCCTTGATCACGTTCTATAACAGAACTGTGCCAATGTAAAAAGCTTACAGTGATAAGAAGACTGAATAATGTGTAAGTTAGATAATATGAGGTCCCTCAATAAGCCCCACTGACACAACTGATTAAAGCTACCCTGAGGTATTTTCCATATATAAACCTGTTCTTAAAAAAGCAAAACTACCAAAAGTGGGAGGCTAGAGGGTGGGGAAAGGGGACAGGTGAAGGAACAGAGGATGGAAAAAAGGAAAGAAGGCTTTCATTCTAAGAGGTCATAGAATCCAACAAAATTGACCAGTGCATGATTAAACTATGGCATACTTAGATAAGGATTCCTATTAAAGTCTAGACCATTGGCAATATGATAGTAAATTATATTCTCAATTTCAATTTACAATTCATCATTTTTAGATCATAACATTTTTCTTTTTTCTTTTCTTTTTTTTTTTTTTTTGAGACGGAGTCTTGCTCGCTGCCCAAGCTGGAGTGCAGTGGAGTGATCTCGGCTCACTGCAAGCTCTGCTTCCAAGGTTCATGCCATTCTCCTGCCTCAGCCTCCCAAGTAGCTGGGACTACAGGCTCCCGCCACCATGCCTGGCTAATTTTTTGTATTTTTAGTAGAGATGGGGTTTCACCATGTTAGCCAGGATGGTCTCTATCTCCTGACCTCGTGATCTGCCCACCTTGGCCTCCCAAAGTGCTGGGATTACAGGCGTGAGCCACTACGCCTGGCCAACATTCTTCTATAAAAACATTTCAACACCTAATGGTTAGGTTCTCAGGCTATTCTCTATATCCTTATTGTGGAGACAGAAAGAGTATTGGTGAAAATGAACGCCAGGCCCCACTAGAAACCCTCTGCAACTGTGAGATCTAGCCCTGATCCTTCTCTTAGGACCACCGAGAAGCTGCAGGGATGACGGCCTTGGGGCCACTGTGTCTGGGAAGCTCCAAGTCAGGTAAAAACATAGACCAAAAGCTTCTCAAGGTGATAAGCAACCTTGGCGAAGTCTCAGGATACAAAGATCAATGTGCAAAAATCACTAGCATTCCTACACACCAAAAGTCAAGCCGACAGCCAAATCATGAATGAACTCCCGTTTATAACTGCCAACAAAAGAATAACATACCTAGGAATACAGCTAACAAGGGAAATGAAGGACCTCTTCAAGAAGAGCTACAAACCACTGCTCAAAAAAATCAGAGATGACACTAACAAATGGAAAAACATTCCATGCTTACAGAAGACTGGAAGAGTCAGTATCACGAAAATGGCCATACTATCCAAAGCAATTTATAGATTCAATGCTATCCCCATTAAACTACCATTGACCTTCTTCATTTAATTAGAAAAAAACTATTTTAAAATTCATATGGAAGCAAAGAACCACCCAGACAGTCAAAGCAATGCTAGGCAAAAAGAGGCAAGCTGGAGGCATCGTGCTGTCTGACTTCAAACTGTACTACAGGGCTACAGTAACCCAAACAACATGGTACTGGTACAAGAATGAACACACAGATCAATGGAACAGAATAGAGAACCCAGAAATAAGACTGCATGCCTACAACCATCTGATCTTCAGCAAACCTGACAAAAACAAGCAATGGGGAAAGGATTCCTTATTTAATACATGGTGCTAGAAAAACTGGGTAGCCATACGCAGAAAACTGAAACTGGATCCCTTCCTTACACCATATACAAAAATCGACTCAAGATGGATTTAAGACTTAAATGTGAAACCCAAAACCAATAAAACCCTAACAGAAAACATAGGCAATACCATTCTGCACACAGACATGGGCAAAAATTTCATGATTAAGATGTCAAAAGCAATTGGAATAAAAGCAAAAATTGACAAACGGGATCCAATCAAACTGAACAGCTTCTGCAGAGCAAAAGAAAGTATCAGAGTCAACAGACAACCTACAGAATGCGAGAAAAATTTTGTAATTTATCCATCTGACAATGGTCTAATACCCGGCACCTACAAGGAATTTAAATGTATAAGGAAAAAACAAACAATCACATTAAAAAGTGGGCAAAGGACACAAAGAGACACTTCTCAAAAGACATATATGCGGCCAAGAAACATGAAAACAACCTTAATATCACTGATCAATATCGCAAATCAAAACCACAATGAGATACCATCTCACACCAGTCAGAATGGCTACATTATTAAAAAGTCAAAAAACAACAGATGATGGCGAGGTTGTGAAGAAAAAGGAATGCTTTTACGCTGTTGGTGGGAGTGTAAATTAGTTTAATCATTGTGGAAGACAGTATGGTAATTCCTCAAAGACCTAGAACCAGAAATACCATTTGACCTAGCAATCCCATTACTGGGTATATATGTAAAGGAACAGAAATCATTCTGTTATAAAGATACATGCATGCATATGTTAATTGCAGCACTATTTACAGTAGGAAAGACATGGAATCAACCTAAATGCTCATCAAGGGCTGGATAAAGAAAATGTAGTACATATACACCATGGAATGCCATGCAGCCACAAAAAGAGAATGAGATCATGTCCTTTACAGGGACAGGGATGGAGCCAGAGGTCATTATCCTTAGTAAACTAAGGCAGGAACAGAAAACCAATTACCATGTGTGCTCACTTGTAAGTGGGAGCTGAATGATGAGAACACATGGACACATGGGGCAGAACAGCTCACAGTGGGGCCTGTCAGAGGGTGGAGGGTGGGAGGAGTAAGAACATCAGGAAGAACAGCTAATGAATGCCAGGCTTAATACCTGGGTGATGGGCCAGTTAGAATGGTGATCATTAAAAAGTCAGGAAACAACAGGTGCTGGAGAGGATGTGGAGAAATAGGACCACTTTTACACTGTTGGTGGGACTGTAAACTAGTTCAACCATTGTGGAAGACACTGTGGAGATTCCTCAAGGATCTGGAACTAGAAATACCATTTGACCCAGCCATCCCATTACTGGGCATATACCCAAAGGATTATAAATCATGCTGCTATAAAGACACATGCACACTTATGTTTATTGCGGCACTATTCACAATAGCGAAGACTTGGAACCAGTCCAAATGTCCATCAATGATAGACTGGATTAAGAAAATGTGGCACATATACACCATGGAATACTATGCAGCCATAAAAATGATGAGTTCATATGCTTTGTAGGGACATGGATGAAGCTGGAAACTATCATTCTGAGCAAACTACCGCAAGGACAGAAAACCAAACACCGCATGTTCTCACTCATAGGTGGGAACTGAACAATGAGAACACTTGGACACAGGGTGGGGAACATTGCACACCCCCTGTCGTGGGGTGGGGAGAGGGAGGAGGGATAGCATTAGGAGATATACCTAATGTAAATGACAAGTTAACAGGTGCAGCACACCAACATGGCACACACATACATATGTAACAAACCTGCACGTTGTGCACATGTACCCTAGAACTTAAAGTATAATAACAAAATAAAATAAAAAATAAAAAAATAACTCTGTAAGGTATCAAAATAGAAAAAAAAAACAAAACAAAACTGGGTGACGAGATGATCTGTGCAGCAAACCACGTTGGCATTTGTTTACCTATGTAACAAACCTGCACATCCTGCACATAGACCCCTGACCTTAAAGTTAGAAATCAAAAGATCTTTGCAAATAATAATTTAGGAAAAAAAGCCAGGTAAGACAAGACAAACACGGCACCAAGGAGATAGGAGAGAGGACTCCAAAGGAGAAGGCAGTGCTAGCACAGTAGAAATTATGACCATGGATGGAATCTACAGCAGGGGAAAGCTCAGAGAGAAAACTGAATGCCAACGATAGCTTTCATGGCAGATGGCATCACCTTTCAAGGCAGAGGGCATCACAGATACAGAGAAGCACAGACAGAAGAGGTATCCACAGGGAAGATATTATCCTGCAGGACGATGAGAGGATAGCCTGCAAATGTACTTAACAGCTGCCAGTTACAATAGTGATCATTACAGATGCAGAGAGTTCTTGAGGATATTAACTCTATGAGGTTCATCAATATCATGGAAGTCTGTGATGTTTTTGACAGTGAAAATATAAAATAGCACAATATGAAGCTGTGGGGAAAAGCAAGAGAGATCAGATTGTTACTGTGTCTGTGTAGAAAGAAGTAGACATAGGAGACTCCATTTTGTTATGTGCTAAGAAAAATTCTTCTGCCTTGAGATTCTGTTAATCTATAACCTTACCCCCAACCCTGTGCTCTCTGAAACGTGTGCTGTGTCAACTCAGAGTTGAATGGATTAAGGGCGGTGCAGGATGTGCTTTGTTAAACAGATGCTTGAAGGCAGCATGCTCCTTAAGAGTCATCACCACTCCCTAATCTCAAGTACCCAGGGACACAAAAACTGCGGAAGGCCGCAGGGACCTCTGCCTAGGAAAGCCAGGTATTGTCCAAGGTTTCTCCCCATGTGATAGTCTGAAATATGGCCTCGTGGGAAGGGAAAGACCTGACCGTCCCCCAGCCCGACACCCGTAAAGGGTCTGTGCTGAGGAGGATTAGTAAAAGAGGAAGGAATGTCTCTTGCAGTTGAGACAAGAGGAAGGCATCTGTCTCCTGCCTGTCCCTGGGCAATGGAATGTCTCGGTATAAAACCCGATTGTATGCTCCATCTACTGAGATAGGGAAAAACCGCCTTAGGGCTGGAGGTGGGACCTGCGGGCAGCAATACTGCTTTGTAAAGCATTGAGATGTTTATGTGTATGCATATCTAAAAGCACAGCACTTAATCCTTTACATTGTCTATGATGCCAAGACCTTTGTTCACGTGTTTGTCTGCTGACCCTCTCCCCACAATTGTCTTGTGACCCTGACACATCCCCCTCTTTGAGAAACACCCACAGATGATCAATAAATACTAAGGGAACTCAGAGGCTGGCGGGATCCTCCATATGCTGAACGCTGGTTCCCCGGGTCCCCTTATTTCTTTCTCTATACTTTGTCTCTGTGTCTTTTTCTTTTCCAAATCTCGCGTCCCACCTTACGAGAAACACCCACAGGTGTGTAGGGGCAACCCACCCCTACATGAAGCATTAAATTTTTAAAATAATTTTTATAATAGTCATTTTCCACTACTAATAAACCAAATATTTATCCACTATTTAAGATTCTAGGCTCCTAGAAAGCCAATGCAATAATTAAGTTTATAGATTAGAAAAGAAATAATGAATTCTTACAATCTATCTCACACTGAACTCCACATTTTTTTAACACTGTTCTGTGACAAAACCTAAACATACTTTCTTCCTTGATTATATTCTTCTCCCTACCAGTAAGTTGTACTAGATATGGTTTCAACCCTTTCCAAACTTACAACCCAACACTAAAAACATTAGTAAGGTCGTGCCTGATCATTAAACTCAGACCACAGGGCATGATACTCAACATGCTCTGAGTATGTCAAGGGTAAAGTATATGTAGGAGGCCCAGCCCGAGAAAGAGAGCTACCTCTAAGAACCACAACCAGGCTCTTATACCAATTGTACATGGTGGGCTGGCTTCTGCCAATACTGGAGAACAGAGGGATGCTGGACAAAACTGCTACTGAAAATCTCAAGCCTTGATGTTAAAAGGTACATTTTGTCAAAAAATCTTGATTAAAAACAATGCCCTGGCTACTGCCTCTTACCATGGCCTGACCTTGGCCAGCCACTGACTTGTGTATCTCTTGTGACTTTCTAGTTGTGGAACTGGCCAGCTGACTATGCTCTGATCTATCTCACTCCTCACTGCTATGCAATTCTATACTTAACCCTCCTACCACCTTAGAACACCAGCCCTGGGTGATAATCCTGCCAGGACGGTAGGAACCTGACTAAACTGTGACTGAAGTACAAGCAAGCTAGTTAGTGGTAGGAAACAGAACGCATTTGAAGATCCATCCAGAAAGGGAGTAAGTATAAACTTATTCTGACATATCAAATCTTATCCATACCATTTCAAACAAGGTTGAAGAAAAAGACTTTCAACTCTTACCTTGTTGATAGTTGAAACAATATTCAATAAAACTTAGTTCCAATATAGCAAAGAAAGAAACTCTAGAGTTTAAGAGAAATGTATCTGTATGTGTAGAAGTTTAATTTACATAAGTATTTTGTAGATAAAGAGGCATTTCAAAAATAAAACAAATTATATAGCAAATTCACCACACGACTACAATTATAAAATATTTAATTTAAGGGAATAAACTACTTGCAGACAAGTAAAAACAAGTAGATACTCTTGCTAGGAAAATGATATATCAGTCACATTTTTTTAAAAGCAGGTACTGAATTCTCCCCCCAAATATTGTATATACTTCAGATTGTTTTTTATCTAGCCTAATTAGAGAAGTTTAACATGATCCAACATGAAATTAAAACACCTCCCCAGTGTTTTCCCATCATAGCACCTCAGCAACCTGCTACCATGTCTTCAGTGAAACCTGACTAATGAGGTCAGCCTAGCCAATACCATCAGAGAGGATTATTTGGCTTCCATGAACATTGTCTCATTCACCTCTGATCCTTACCCAAATGGCAAAGAGTATGGAAAGGAGGAGGCACACGCATGCTATATACATGTTTGTTGAAGGGGAAAGTTAGAAAAAGAAAGGGATTTCAACATGTCACATTAGCTAAATGTAAGTAAAATATTAGTATACATTCCATTATTTTATTAGTAAGGAAATTAGCAGGCCAAACCAAGGCCCATATTAATGCATTCTCAGTGCCTCATTCCTCAGAGTAAAGGAAAGGTTCACCAAGAGCAGCCAAAACAAGTTAATCTCCCAAGAGGGGAGTCAGACCTCCTCATAGGGGAGTCACCCCTCCCCTACTGAAAGCATATGAGGACAAGCTGGTCTTGGCACTTCTTAGAAAGATCATGCTGCAGTATTGCTATTATGACACAACGGTAAGGAAAAAAAGAATAATGGTTGATTAGTGTATTCCCCATGAAGATTATTCTGGCATCGGATCAAGTAATGGGTGGTCATATTCTAGGTAGTATAGCATTAAGGAGAAGGTGAAAAGGAGCAGAACAGTAGAAATAATTCATTTTATCTCCTGCATGATTCGATTTCATAGGGGCCATGCTGACAAGTCAAACAGACACTAAAACAACAACAAAAAAATCAGGCAATCATGATGCAAGAGAAGCTACATCCAGAATTATGGATTAAAAACTTACCACCTAGAAGAATAATTTATTTTTAAAATGAATCCAGAGGAGAAAGATAGAAGAAACATATTTACATGGTTAGTTCTTATGATAGCTACTATATATTCAACAGACTTGTAACAGCATGCATTATGGAAAACTAATACATAAAACCTAAATAGACAATCCCAAGTATATCGCACACATTTTTAAAACAGAGAACTACTTATCACCAAACACATGATCCTGAATATGACAGAGATTCACTGTTATTGATAATTTTCTCCCTCTTCTATCAGTAATTTTGCCACGACTGCCAATTATTAATTATCCATGATTGGCCTAACTCAAGGTAATATTAAAATGTTAATTTATGTAAACTCTTTTCCATCCCAGTTGCCAAGAAGAAGCAGGATGCTTCATCTAATCTCCTTACAATTCCTTGTAAGTCTAAAGAAGAGCAAATGTCCTAGATTTGCAGCTCTAAACCTGTAGCTACTGAAACCTGGGTGTCCACAGCTCATCTAGACATCAAGCATGCTGAGATATCTAATAAAAAATAACATCTTTATTGGTTGCTACATTTCAAGTTCTTATGATTCAGATACATGCTTATGTAAAAGTATTATTAAAGCTATATTAGCTTTTTAAAAATGCAATCTAGGATTTAGTAGAAACAAATCATCAAAAATGTGACAAAAGCTCTAAGAGATCTGCAACCTTTAAAGAGAAATTGCAATATTACTGAATTTTTTTCCTCCCACCATTAAACTTTTCTCAGTTAACAGATGCTAAACGTACAACTCTTTTATGTTGATGGAACCTCAAAATATCTAGTGTGAAGGGAATTCTTCACGCTGGTGATCACTGACTTGATTCAATGTTATATGTGGCCAAACGCACTCAAAATTTTCTCCTTTGGCCAGAAAGGCTAAGGAAAAGAAGGGTGCAAAGAGCAACTGTTATCACCAAACAGCCAGACAAAGCAGTGAAAACTTGCTTGGCCAGTAACACGAAAAAAGTGGTCATGACAATCCACTGACTGGCCATCCCTTTAACAAGCTGGATGAACATTAGATTGCGGTAGTCATGTCAAGATTCACACTGTGAAATGCCTGCATTTCCACATGGTGTATTAGCCGTGCTATACTGCCCAAGAATGCTTCCTGAAAGTATTTTCTTTTCATCTGTATTATCTCTGGACACGTGCTACCTATGTTTACAAGCCACTAAGTGATTCTAAATTCACCTCTTATATATGGCAAAAGGAACTTTCTAGCTGAGTATTTTGAGATATGTTAAAATGATGTTAAAATTAGGATTCTATCACTATATCTCCTGTTTGCTTTCTGGTGGTGGAACCCTTTCTCCCTGAACCCCTTCCTCTTATAACAGCTAGTCCAACTTAATGGTCCCATAGAGCTCCATGGTTCCTTTCTTAAAAGGGAACACTATATTTTCCAAAAAAGGAAATTATGTGACTAGCAGAATATCTAAATATCAATTTTTTATATGTAATTTTTAAATTGTAAGATATATTACGGCAAATCAAGGGATAATATACTCTACACAGACACCTGATTTTCTCTTCAAAATACAATCAGAATTCGTTAAATATGGACTAATCTATACTTACTTAGAGCAAAAATTACTTCATAGTCCCAGGTTCATTTATTTTAAAGAGTATTATGAAGAGTTCGAGTAAATGCTAAAATTCTACTTCTACAAAACTTGCAAATTTATATATAATTATACATTTTAACACTTTATCTTGTATCTTAAGTAGATGATGAGACGGTAATTAGTTTGTTTTATTATTTCAACTAGTAAAAGACTAGATAAGCTGAGGGGCACAAGAAAGGCTGAGTTATTCAACTCACTATGGTATGTAGGGAAAACACAATTCACATTTTCAGATCTAATTTGTATTCTCTCCATCATTATCTATCAACTGTAATTCTCAACCAGAAAACAAAAATAAGTAAAAGCTCTGTCTGCCATCTACTGGACAAAGAAGACACAGAACACACACATTACTGCTAAAACAACTCCAGACACCAGGACGATGGATTTAAAGTCATACTCTGTGCTAGCATGTGAAATAAAAAAATTATTTCTTTTTTCAAAGATTTCTTTTTATTCACCTGCCATGGGAACCATGTAGAGAATGGGAAACGGGGAGGCAGAAAATAAATGTGTTTGAACATAAAAGCAGAGATAAGCCCGACATGTTTTGGATCTAAGTTTCACAAATCCACACTTACGTGGCCATGTAGATCGGTATTAAGAAGCATTATTGCACAGGTAAGGCAATGGACTCCATCTAAAGAAAGATACAAGAAAAAAAAGCATGAATTCGCTTTTCACTGTTGGACTCCACCTTATTATCACTAATAGGATACACTCAGAACCTATGAAAACAGTACTGTGCTAGGTACAATTAGTCCTGTTTTAAGAAACAAAAAATGGATAAGAATAATTTATAGAAAGAACCTCAATGCACAGAACTGGACTCCACTGTTGATAAGTTGTTCTTACCTCTCTGGAGGACAGTTTGGTAGTAGATATGTAAAGCCTTCAAACAATGTCTTTTGATACAACAAATCGGCTTCTAGGGCTTTGCACTACAGCAATAATTAGTGATCTATACATAGTACAAGGATATCCAGACAAGCATTGCTTACAATGGGAGACAAGTAAATATGAGCCTCCAAAGACACATTACTGTTAGGTTAAAGTCATATAAAAATGTTCTCCAAGTAGAGTTAAGATTCTCCTTTCCAAACACTACAATTAGTTGTTCTCGTTACTCTCACTCTGCTAATTCTCTACACAAGTACAGTAGACAATAGCAGTTTCAGATGCAGTAAAAATCTTTTCAATTTACGCTAAATTAGAAGGTCTAATTATTGCACTCATAAATTAAAGCCAGGGTATTTTCAAAAGTAAGTTCTTTAGTATAGTAGGTGATTTCTGTTATCAGTGTCTCTAAATAGACACTACCAAATGGCTAAAAGTATATTTATTCTAGTACCACTTTATTATCACAAGTTCTACATATATTTAAAACAAATTCTCGAAAGTATTTTAAGAACTCAGCAGCCAACTCTCAAATATCCTCATCAACAGCCAATTAAGTCACGAATCCATATTTCTTATTTTATCCAAGAATGTAAACATATTCTTAGATTTGAAGAAGGTTCTAATAAAAATGGCCCACTTTTATCTCCTTCATTCTCTTGTCAGGGCTAATGGTGACAGAGATAGTGAATAACTGGTCTGAATAGCATCAGTTTACCGATAGGAATGTGACCTTAATCAGGTGATAAACTAACTGTGACTGCAGCCTTGGACATGGAGGGGAGGTTGAGGCAAGCACCTTGGCCAATACCAAGTAAACTATCCAGGTTAACTGGCAATACTGAAGCTAAGAGGTAATTACTATTTCTTGGGAATCTAGTCTCAGTGATTTACTCCATCATCTGTAAGTTTATGAAACATTTTCCAGTCACAAGTCAAAGTGCTTCACTTCAAACACTGAAAAGTGTACTTTATTGCAGGAACTGAAATGGAGGAAAGATCTCTCTTCACAAGGTAGGTCCACAAACAAACAGTTTACCATTAAGTCACTTACTTTGTAAAAATAGTGTAATATGCATAACCTCATAGTTTATTAAAATCATCAACAAAAGTTTGTGGTCAGTATAGTACAATTAATATCAAACGAAAGCACCAGAGACACAGCGCAACCACCAGTGAGATTTGTTAATTTTTCCAAAACTAACTCCAACACTCAGGATACATGAGCTTTCATCAAGAAACATAGAGACCAAATGTATAAGAAATAAGAAAACTGAAATTTCATTCATTACATAAAATCTCAGAGTGACAAACCATGAACAATTTAAAGAAAGTACGCTGTCACACTAGAGAAGTGGAAAACAAAATAATTTAAGTAAGAGTAGAGGATATCATGCTGTCCTTAAATATTATGCTTTTAAAGAATATTTAATGACATGAGAAAATGCTCACAATGAAATAAAAAGGCAGCTAAAAACAAAACTCTAATTCCAATTTGACATTAAATATTAAATAGACTAGAATGAAGTAAACAGAAGTGTTAATAGTTATCACTAGGTAACTGAAGATACATAATTTCTCACAATAAAATTTAACTTTCATAATAAGGAAAATAACCATTGATATAAAAAAGAAATTCAAGGATTTGTATCAGATTACCTTGTGAAGCAATGGTATCTGGGTTACAATAAAAATATCTATTGGAGAAGTGTATTAAAACTCTCTCTCGTTCTTGAGTTTCTCCCACAAGAGAGAATGCTTTAAAGAAATACCTACAAGAGAATTAAAAATTTAAACAGTGAAATTTTCGAAAATGCTATCACACTCTTTCATAGTTAAAAGTCAATTTATATAAACCTAAGATATTAATTATACAAAGTAAGATATTATGAAGTTATCTCCCCCCAAAAAAATCATTTACTAGACAGCCATTCAATATAAATTGGTATTAGTATTTAAATTCTATAAAAAGCACTGTGGGAGGCCAAGGCAGGTGTTCACTTGAGGTCAGGGGTTCAAAACCAGCCTGGCCAACATGGCGAAACCCCATCTCTACTAAAAATACAAAAATTAGCCGGGCATGGTGGTGGGCGCCTGTAATCCCAGCTACTCAGGAAGCTGAGGCAGGAATCGCTTGAACCCAGGAGGCGGAGGTTGCAGTAAGCTGAGGTCGCGCCACTACACTCCAGCCTAGGCGACAGAGTGAGACTCCGTTTCAAAAGAAAAAAAAAATGTCCACTTAAAAGATGACAGGGTGATAACAGAGTGGTCAGTACATCAAGAAAGCCTTGGGAAGGTAGGTAATTTCCTCATTATGACCAAGTGTCAAGTAGCCAATTTTAAAAGGTCAGATTTAAAAAAAACAAAGACCGCTTAAGACTCAATACATCATCATAAAGGCTATGTTTTAAAACTCTACACGCATCAGGGTGCTTCTGTCATTTTGTTACATGACTGTCATCTCTATTAAAGCCACTATGGATTGCATTGCTTTGTGCACAGGAGATTTCTGTTAATTGTGTCTGTTATCACATTTTAATATTAATTTGTTATAGGAGGAGGAAATTGGGAGATATAAGTAATTTATTCCTTACATAATGGAATTAGTTTATGTATAAAAATATCTTTAAATTATAGGAAGTGTATCAAAAACCACACATTAATCTACTCGGAGTCACTAAGAGCACTGTTTATTTGAGATGAATCCAGATGACCCTCACTTGACAATGTAGATTCATTTTCCTAAACATGAGATGGGAAGGAAAAAAAAAATCATTCAAAATGTCTAAGAAATCTTACTATGGTAAAAAACATACCATGAGCCTCATTTCTATGAAAATTTTGCCTTCTTCCTTATTATAGGTATAATTAAGATTAACAAACTATATATTGACAAAACTTTAATTTTTCATAACTTTAATAAACTACATCAGAATGCAAGGCAAAAATACAGATCTTTCATCCACTGATAACTGTTTTTGTTAGAAAATCTGAGTACCTTTGCTGCATGAAAAGAGCCCCACGATAAATCACTGCAGTACTACACTCCAGTCCAAACATCCTCCCTTCACCTCCCAGACCTCAGTTTCTTGATTTGTAAAATTAAAGGGTTACACTAGATGATCTCAGAATTCTTCCAGACATGGACATTTTATAAATAGTGTTGAAAATTAAATGCTGACTAGGTTTTACCTTCAGCTACTTAGAAACTTGTAATACAATATAATGTAAAAAGTGAGAATCAGTGAGTTTTAGACACCTTCATTTGAAAAGGTCAGAAAAAGTGGATATTGTTGCAAACAGTTTTATAGATACTTTCTACTGATTATGCTGACATTCATTTTTATTCCACTGAAGAGTTAATTCCAAAGTATCACCTTAAAAGGCTATTGGGGCTAGGTGCGGTGGCTCACGCCTGTAATCCTAGCACTTTGAGAGGCTGAGGCGGGTGGACTGCCTGAGGTCAGGAGTTCGTGACCAGCCTGGCCAATATGGCAAAACCTCATCTCTACTAAAAATACAAATAATTAGCCAGGTGTGGTGGTGCGTACCTGTAGTCCCAGTTATTCGGGAGGCTGATTCAGGAGAACTGCTTGAACCTGGGAGGTGGAGGTTGCAGTGAGCCAAGATGGTGCTACTGCACTCCAGCCTGGGTGACAGAGCGAGACTCTGTCTCCAAAAAAAAAAAAAAAAAAAAAAGGCTATTGGGCTATAGTAAGCAAATATAATAAGCAAATACTTAGGAAAAAAATCTAATTCTAATTCTACAATCTATAAACTGTGTGTGTGTGTGTGTGTGTGTGTGTGTGTTAAACTCATCATTCAAAAACCAAACTCCCTACTCAAAACAATTGAAAACAGGGTCTTGAAGAAATATTTGTCCACTCATGTTCACAGCAGCATTAATCACAATAGCAAAAGCATGGAAGCAACCCAAGCGTGTCCTGAAGCTGACGGTGGTATATATATTCCCCATAATGGGGTATTACTCAGCCTTAGAACGGGAAGACATTCTGATATATGCTACAAGAATGAACCTTGAAGACATTATGCTAAGTTAAATGAATCACAAAAAGGCAAATAATGTATATATCAATTTACATTACAGTAGTCAAAATCATCGAGAAGAGAAGTAGAATAGTGTTTGCCAGGGGCTGGGGGAAAGGAGGGGAAGGAAAAAAAAAGTCATTGTTTAACGAGTATGGAGCTTCAGTTTTACAAGAAGAGAATCATGGAGATGGACGGTGGTGACGGCTGGACAACATTATGAATGTTTTTAATGCCACTCATTGTATACCTAAAAATTGCTAAGATGAAAGATTTTATGCTATCTGTATTCTAACACGATAAAAAAACGAAAAACAGAAAAACTCCTACAGATGGCATTTTTTATCCAGATTTGCTTTGCTACCAATTGTTTACCACCTGAACTCAGGCTTACCAGTAGGTGTAGACTATCAATTCATGTGTCATTTCGTTAAATGAATACGTTTTTCTTACTCTTTGCTGTGTTTAATATCTATAATACAATTTGAGCTAAGTTCACAAACTACAGGTTAAACGTCCCAAACCCAAAAATAAGAAATCTAAAATGCTTCAAATCAGAGATGCTCCAAAATCTACAACACTTTTCAGTGCTGAAATAAGGTTCAAAGGAAATGCTCCCTAAAGCATTTCAGATTTTCAGATTTGGGATGTTCACTTGGATAAGTATAACACAAACATCTCTAAACCTGACAAAATCCAAAATCCACAACACTTATGGACCCAAACATTTTGGAGAAGGAATACTCCACCTATACATGGAGGTTTAAAAAAAAAAAATAAGATTCTAGCTAGAAGACATTACTTTCTTCTCTAAGAACTAATCATTTGAAAGCAATGACGAGCAGCAAGGAGGCTTAGTCATACCTGAGTGACTGATCCAGCGTCATTCCTGTAAAATCAAAAAACTTCAGATATTCTTCTGCAACTAGTTTGCTAAATTCGTTGCTATAAGAAAACAGAATAGACTTGGTTATTGAAAGGTAAACTATTTAAAACACACACAAAACAGGAGAGAATTCAGACTCCAGCAATGGGTCAGAACGTACTTCTTGCCAAGGTGTTTTGCAACATCTGATCTTTTGAATCTGTCCAGCTGATAAAGGCGTTTGGCCAACCTTTTGGCTGCTTCCACATTGCTGCTGGTACCATTACTGAGATTTTCTGGGGTCTCCTTTTCCAAAATTTCAGTGCTCCCCATTTCAGAATGAGCTTCTAGCCGTGTTGTTTTCACCCCAGCATTGCTATGATAATTGATAAAGAGAGAAAATAATAGATTTTTCTTATATGGCAAAAAGGAAAATATCTGATGAAATATTGATAGTTTTCTTTTAGTTCAGCTACACTTAGATGAGATCACTGTATGTTTAAATATTCATAAAAATTTTTTCAGTTACCATATTTTAAAGAACTAAAGAACAGATTGCCTAAATCTTAGGCAAGCAGTTCCCAAACTTTTCAGTCTCTAGACCTTTACATTCTTAGAAGGACTCCATACGGCTTTCACTTATGTGGGTTATACCTACCGATATTTACCCTCGTAGTAATGAAAATAGAAACATTTTAAAAATTCACTCACTTAAAAATAAATCTGTTTTACATAACAAATACTATAAAGATACAACTATTGTTTTCCAGAAGAACTAAAATTCACTGTTTTTTTAAAACACAAATTTCTTTAACAGCTGGCTTACTACAAGACAGTTGAATTCTAAGAGCCATTTCTACATTCAATCAGTAACAATATATTATTTTGGTTGAAACACATTAAGAAAATGTGCCCTCACTCATATTTCATTGGAAAAAAGAAATATTTTAATATCCTTTTCAGATAATTGTGGATATTCTTTTTTGATACAACACCAAAGTGAGACAAGTGGTAGTTTCTTAAAGGATATTCTTACTTGCAATATGGAATCTAAATTTGTGTCGATTAACTTTTTGTACTCTTATATTAAAATCTATCTTATACTTTGAATGGATCTTTTAACCCTTACATGATTTTGTAACATCACACATTGGTTATCTGCAAAACATGTGTTGACACATTTCATTATATAACCTTAAAAAAATCATATTCACTAATGTCACCATTAATGAAAAGTCTAAGTATTGGGAAGCTGCCAAACCTTTGCGGGCAGATACAAGTTTTCCAAAATCCTAACTTTTGTTCAAAAGCTCAAATGTAATCATTTGCTACAAATTATTATCAGCTGTTTTCCTTAAAGTAATAGGCTTACTCCATTTTCAAGAAAATGTTTGCCAATAACCATAGTTTGTCAGTCATTCTCTCAAGGAAAAATGACATTCAATGAAAAAAGTGACTAGTTTTTAGCCCCAACTTAAATGACAGACGAATGTTTTTCCTGGAGACTACCAGGAACAGAAGTGCTTTATTCCCATTTCATCACACACAAAATTAAAAAGACATGATCTCAAGCGCTGAAATGAAATAAACTGTACTGGTTTCATCAAGGATTTTTTTAAAGGTGAAACTGGCCTATATTTTTATTTTGAGTGCATGACAGTGGAGAATACGATGACTAGAAGAGTTTGGTGCCGCTGCCTTAAGTTCTACTAAGACCTCCACTATTGTTTTTGCACCATAAGATATCAACGCAGTGAAAAACAAAAATAGTGTTATAATAATTAGTGTAAAACAATTTTGATCTCATAAACCTAACTGAAGGAAGAAAGCTCCACAGGCAACACGTTGAGAACTCCGCCCTAGAAAGGGCTTAAAGACTACAGCCTGTGGTCAGGTATAGAGGGTTCTCTTGTATTTATAACAGTGAAACTAATGAGGATACATTAATTTCCAAATCTTTATCTTAACTTGGAAGTAAGACATGCTCATAATAAAATGTGCTTACACGGCCTTCGAACACACTTACCACAGATGCTAAACCAAGGGCGGTCAGAATTTTTCCATAATGGATGAAATAATAAATATCGTAGGCGTGCAGGCCACATATGGCCCCTGTCACACATGCTGCTTTGTTGTTGTTGTTTTGTTACAACCTTAAAAAACCTAAGAGCCATGCCAGCTGGGCTGAATTGGGCCCATGGATGGGAGTTTATCTGCCCTTGCTCTATCCCATAGTTCTTTAACTTGGCTTGCATTAAGCACAATAACCATTTACTGTCTAAACCAGGACACTCTAAAGGGGAAACGGAGATAATAAATCCTTAAATATTCTATTATAATCATTACAAAATAAATAAAGAAGGCATTATCAATAAAAAAGCAGTACTGCTAATGGGCATTGTTTCTTTTGGGGTGATGAAAGCATCCTTAAGACAGTGGTAACGACTAAACAACTCTGAATATGCCCAAACCACCGGATTTTATACTTTAATAAAGCAAGTGATACAGTATTTCAATTATCTCAATGGTGTTATGTTTTTAAAAATCTGAACCTAAAAAATAGGTTGTAAACTTACATCACGAAATGACAAAAACCATTGTAGTAAAAATAAATGCATTTCTAAGCAGAACTGCTCCATCTTGTCACTTATTCTACCTCATTTACAAGTTCCCTTTTCCCACTGCTCTACCAAGGAAGCACTGGCCTTATGCTTCAAGGTCACTGAAAAAGCAGCCAGGGCTCCTGGACAACCAGCTGGTATAACAAGTAGCTGCAAAGTCTCATACTCCCTCAACCACCACAGGATTAGAAGGAGTTAACTGTCCTTAGCAACTCTTCTCCAAGCACACTTTATCGGCAAGCACCTGACATCCTGCCCTTGAAATGAAGCTCTAAGAATAGGGAAAAGAGAGAGAGTTTTTTAGACTCAACTGTGTAAAAATGTCAACTCACACATTCCCAGATGATACCATGGGAGAAGCTGGGAATACGAAGTTAGGTCTACCAAACCCATGCTGGCTTATTTTGCCATAGCTATTAATGGTAATAGTTCAGTTATTAAAACTCTAAGTCAAATACCAAACCACAGTCAATATCAATGGCAGAACAGCAGGCATTAACTGGAACTGACCCAGGCAAACTAACATGTATGGTAACCCTCAACACCTTGAACAGTTTCCCAATACACATGCCTACCAGTTAAAATAAATTGCTTCATTATGATAAAATCTCCATGAAAATACATTTTTAAATGCATGATTTTTTCATCCTACATCTTCCTTTATAGACTTAACATTACATGGCTGGGTGTGGTGGCTGAAACCTGTAATCCCTGCACACTGGGAAGCCAAGGGGAGGACTGCTTTAGCCCAGGAGTTTGAGACCAGCCTGGACAACACGGTGAGACCCTCCTGTCTATGATGTAAACATTTTTTTAAAAAGAGACTTAACACTACCATTCAGTTTTGTGAAATCTATCCCATCAGGAAACTGAATAATCATTATCGACAGTATAACCTATAATAAGAAAACTCACAGTAGAAATTTCTTTTAGGCAATTCATGGTTACTTTGTGTTTTCCCATACAAGTGACAGAAATGTAAAATATTTATTCCAAGAACTACGTTAATTACAATCAAGTACTTTTTATAATTATACAAAACACAAAACAAAGCCCTTGGAGTTGTGTTTCCATGTGTGCTTTTCCTATCATGTAGTAAAAACACATGTCAAAGAAAGGATTTTCTTCTTAATTAAACCACTACTCACTGCTCATTTCCCAGGGAAAATTCATGGCATTTATTTAATCATTCTGTGCAAACAATGTAATTATACCACATATACAGTACTGGCCCAATTTTGTTCAAATACAAGAGGCTTATTCTAATGAGAACACATTTTAAAAATTTATTACCCAAAATCATTCCATTCCTCATGTTACTCATTCTCCATATTTGCCCCTTTTCTACTATGCTGCCCAGTCCAGATGATTTCACCTAATTTTCCTCACATTCACCAAAACCATATAATTGCAAAATCTGTGTGCATCAGACTTTCTGGATCTTCTTCAAAAAGGTTTCAGTAAAAGGAGAAAATAAAGCACAAAGGATAAATATGTCCCTAGATGGCTTCATTCTGTCCATTTCACAGTTTAGGAGATTATTTGAACAAGAACCGGAATTGCTCCTTTTAAATCAGAAAGCTTGACAATATGATGGCAATATAAACTTACCAGCAACCATACAGACACCAAGAAGAGCCCATCGCAACCCCTGGGGTGCGCCTGGACCATCCTTCCTCTCCGAAGCCCCGTCCAGTATTCTTCAGCTCCCAAGTTCAGTGACTGCCGAGCCTCACAGCCTTCCAAGAACCTGGCTCCCTGTGAGGTCACACTACTATGACCTCACATTCTCAGCCGAGTGTTCATTGTTGCGGTTTCTGTAATGTTTCTGCAGTTCTAATAAAAACAGCAGCCAGAACACAAGGGCCACTGTCTATCGAGAACGTAAGAAACAGTGAGCCCAGCCTCGTTCACACTTGATAAAGCCAACTCAGTGATCCCTCTCGGAGGGGATAACACCCCATTTTGTTTTCTTGAATACACAAGACATTGCAGCTCTAGTCTGCTGAGCATTAGATGCGTTCTGTAGTTTGGATTTTCTCTTTTCTATGGTTGTTTTATTTTCCCTCTTTTTCTTGATCAAATCACTTTACAGCCTAGTAAGGTTGCAAATAAATAAATCCCTACCAGTCACTTAAATGTGTAAGAGACTTCCCAAAAGGTTCTCCCTGTGTTCTAGAAAATGCTTCCCTGGGGCCTTTATTTCTGACCTCCAAGTAAACATGGTAATAATTCTCTCATCAAAACACTGCATCATCAAATGAAGGACCAGATCATTGACTCTGATCACCATGCCTTCTCACAACCTTTTGAATCATACTAAGATTGGCAGATTTTCCAAATAAAAATAGGGTACCCAATAAAATTTGAATTTCACATCAAAAAACAGTGTCTAGTGTAAGTACGTCCCAAATACTGCACAGGACATACTTATACAAAAATATTATTCATCGTTTTTCTGAAATTCAAGTTTAACTAGGCATCTTATATTTTATCTGGCAAAACTTCCTGAAATGTTTTTTTCTAAACTTTATTTCAAGAATTCCAATAATGGTGTTCCATGATTGCCAACTGGTAGCTTATTCACAATTAGAATCCTTCTGGATTTTTTCACTTGTTTCTGCGATTTTATTCCTACTGTTTTTCTACAGTTTTATCAAGACTTTGTTGCCTATAATCTACTGATTCTTCTCTAACGTCCTCTAAATACAAAAAAAACAAAACAAAAACAAAAACACAAAAACCCTCCTCTGTGTTTTCATCCTTCTCTCTTGACCTGCATGCTACCACCACAAATGTGATAATGTAGCCACTTTACACAAATCCTACACAAGATCCATATTCTGTAGCATGTCCTAAGGCCTTTTCCAAGCTGACCCCAATTTCTTTTTTCAACCTGTCCTCTACCATTTCCCTCCTACTTGAACCACACAAATACAAGCTGTGCTCCCATGCCTTTTACGTATGTTGTTCCCTTTGCCACACTCATCACCCCCAGCCCTACCATGCCAAATTCTGTGAACTCTTAGTGCTATCTTTTAAAATCTCATCGCTTTCACCTACCACTGTCTTGAATTCTGGTTTGAATCCTCAACACAAGGGGCGGCTGAAGGTACTCAACAGCCATCTGCTAAGAGAATGCAAGAACACAGCCATCTGCCATGTCTACTTCCTCCACTGTCTTCCATGCTATGCTATCAATAATGGTATGTGGCACTAATTTTCCAATTCACTGTAGCTAATCCTGGAAAAAAACTGACATCAGTAGAATACTATTGCCTGTATAAAACAATATACTCAATAGTGTACTGTTTTACTTTCAATTTTTCCCAGAACTTTAATAAACAGTATACTATTGCCCGTTTCATACAGGCAATAGTATACTTTGAATTTAAATTTAAAATTTCTTTAAATTTTTATGTAATTGTGGTAATAAAACTAGGACCAAAAAGAAGTTAGGTTAAGGTGTCAAAGCTCCCTGTATGACCCTGTATTTATAAAGTGTACCCCAAGGGTTGTACATAGAAAATAATAACAGCCACCTAGTCGAGTTGAATTTTATACATAACTTAGGCAAAGGCAAATTAGAAGAATCTCAAGGAGTGAGAAGAAATGACTTCAGCTGCAAGTGGAATAAAAAGACCAGTGGGAACAACATGACTCCTTTGCCATTCTTCAGGCTGATGACATAGAAACACAGAAGACTGGAACCAACAGACAAGAGGGCGGGTACAAACGCACAGCTTCCAGGGCTGAAATACAAGTCAGAAGTAAGTACACCATCAGCAAAAAATAAGTAAAACCCTAAATCATAAATTGCCTCTGAAAAGGGAAAAGAAAATAATTTTGTCCATCATTATCTATGGCATTTATTTCCTAGGCATTGTAGAGAGCACATCATCTAATTCCCAAAGAAATGTAAATGAGAAGTTATTCAGAAGAGCCATAGCACCCACCATGGTACCATAAACCTAATAGGTTAACAATGGTTAGGCATTTACTATGTGCCAGCCTCTGGGCTTCTTCCTAGGGATTGAATTGTCAGTCTTATGAAACAGGCAATAGTATAACCCATTTTACAGATGGGAAAACTGAGGCAAGGAGCTGGACATGGTCAGTGAGACTCCAATGCTTTACTACTTTTATAAGCTTTACTACTATCCATTTTGCTCCTGCCAGTCATCTTCTGGTATGTCTGTCTTCAATGATTCAATGAATACGTATTTAATTCCCTATACTGTGCCACATATTTTAGGTGCTTGGTAGACTACAGTAAGCAAAACAGAATTAAAAACTTCTACCCTGGGTGGGGAGGGGAGCTAAAAATAAAGAATTTAATAAATAAGTAAATTCTACATATTAGAAGGTGACGTTTGCTCTGGAAAAAAATAGAGCAAAGATAGAAGAGGAACCCTAATTTGGGGATGAGGGTGGAAACATTTTTCTACGAAGTGGTCATGGTAGGCCTCATGGAGAAGGCAACATTTGAGCAAGATGTAAAGGAGATAAGCCTTGCAAATATGATAAAATAACAGCATTCCAAGCCCAGAGAAGGCCCAAAGGCTGCAGCATGTTAGATGTGTGAGGGCAAGCAAGAAAGCCAGAGTGGCTGGGGCAGAGGCAGTGAACGGAGAATACCCAGAGAGCAAATGGGCTTGTGGGATGGAGGTTCCCACATTTTCTCGACTCAGAGTCTTTAATATGTAAGTTTTTTATGACACTCCAAGGCCAAAGGAAATATATTCCATTTAGTAACAGAATAATAGTGTATAAATGCTTATTAAGTTTGGACCCAACAATTTACAGTCATTTGAAAAAACAATACATACAAATTGAAAGAAAAATCATTTTTATTATTAAATAACGATTGCTTACTAATAGATGTGTGTGCCTCTGGGCCATATGACTTCCTAAATCTCGGATCAGACTGAACACCGCCACTCATTTGTTTTCTCATAGCACTTAATTTTTATCACAACAACTGGTGAAAATCCAGCTCAAAGCTATGACGTCAAAAGGAATATAGCACAATCTGATGTTGACGCTGAACTAGCTGTTCACATGATGTTTGACAGATGATGAGGAGAGCTGTGTTTCCCTTGACAATTTAAATATCCTGAGAAACACCTGTGAGCTCACTGCAATGCCCCAGAACACCTCTGCAGAGTTGGGGAACGACTTTGTTGTTTAAAGGCCTTGGGGGCCACTATGGAGACTGGTTTTTACTCCTAGTGAAATGGTTAATATTGAAGGGTTCTGAGTAAAGATCTAACATTAATTTATATTTTTAAAGGATCACTCTAAGTATTGCTTTGAAAATAGACTGGAGAAGCAGGGTGACCAGTCAGGGGGTAATGCATGTGCCAGGGAGGAGCTGGCTTGGGTGGCAGTAGGGGCTATAGGTCCCGGAGGACCTGCCAACTGGTCCTTTGGGAGGGCTGAGAGAATAGTAGTTAAGTTTTAGTCCTGAGCAACTTCAAGGGTGGGGTTACCATCGACCAAGACATGAAAGACCAAAGTTAACACAGGTTGTGAGAAAAAGAAGTTCCATTTTTGATGTGTTCACCTTGAGATGTCCATTGGCTATCCAAGTAGGATGTGAGGACACGTGGAGATTTCAGGAAAGACACGTGCCAGGGTGCACTGCAGGGAATTCTCAGTCGCTGGCCTGCGGTGGGCCCTGGCATTCTTCTGTTTAAGGACCAAGATGATCCTGATGCACTGTCAGAGCTTTGAGTTACCCCTCTAACACACAGGAAGTCACTATAGGTCTAAAGAGAGGAACAACAATCAGACTTGGGTTTTGGTAAGATCAGTTTTGCTTGTGGTGTGGAGGGAAAACTGCAGGGACTCAAAATTGAGACAGAAAAACCAGCTACAAAAGGTATCAGAATAGTACAGTCAAGAGATGAGAAACTAAATTGCGTGTCTGTGTGAATATGAAGGAAAAGCCTCCTCCGAAAGCTATTTAGAAGGTAAAATGGAAGAACGGGATGAGTGGCTTGAGATGTGCATGGAGCTATGTTCAAGGGTGGGTACAAGACTAACCCTGACTTAAAAGCTGGTGGAAGGTGATGCCACCAAACAAGACAATGAACACAAGAGGAAGAAGAGGGAATGGGTAACAGTGTGCACACATGGAAAGAAACAAGCACTCGTGGAAGACCAGGAGTTTGGTTCGAAGAAACGATAGGTACAAGGTACACACAGGTTAACCAGGCAGAGCTGTCTGGTAGCAATGGCAACCATCCCCTGTCTGCAAGAATTCAGTAGATGTGAACTAGTCACCCTTATGTTGGTGGAGGGAATCACCTGGGAGAGGCTAGAGCACTCAACATGACCAAAGAACACCAAAGTGCGCCAAAGAAATATGTCTAGCAGTAGTGTATTCATTTGAATTCTGTTACAACAGAAGAATTCAGGGGTCTCCCTTCATTTGTTCAGGAAATTCTACCTGTGAGTGTTCAGTTTGCCAGCAAGCAATGATTATTAATTTAGAAGATGCCAAAAGCAATTATCTGCTGGAGAACTCCAGTTAGACCACCCAAGTTCAAACACTGGCTCCAGTGGTCACCAGTTCTGGGACCTTAGGTAGGTAAGGTCATCATTGTCTGTAACCCTTAAGGTTTTTAGCTATAAAACAGATAATAGTATCATATTCACAAGCTGTTGTGAAGATGAGATGAGAAGATCCATGTATGATGCTTGGCATGTAAGATGTCTGGCATACGGTAAACAAAAAACGTCTGCTCCTATCACCAGATCCATCTTCGTCACCAACACCACCAGCATCATTAAGGTTATGATGACGTGAGATAATACATGACAGCACTTTATTAAATATAAATCTCCATACAAATGTTAGTTAGCGCTCAGTAGGAATACTTAGGACAAACGTCTCAAATGAACCTGTTTTCAACAGTTACATAGAATACATTCCCTGGAAGGGACAGCCTCTTATGATTTAAGACTCTTTATAAAGGAAACACACAAAACCTAATTAGCAGAATTCCTAAGAGCTATTTCTCTGTTCAGCACAGAAGACAAAATTCAGTCTTCACCAATAAAAAATTTTAGTAAGCATCACATACAGATTCTGCCCCCAGCCCCACCCGCCGCATACCTTCCAAATCTCAGTCCTTTTTCTCAGCCTTGCTTTCACTATTCCAGAAGAGGGCACCCACATGCAAGGCAGTGCCATGGAAAATGACCCAAACTCACTGTATGAGTCGGGGAGTCTGCATTTGCTCCTGAGGCACTGGCTTCCAACATAACAACTGTACTTTTCACCCATGTAGGGGTTCAAACGTTTCTAGGGGCATGATGCAGGTTTTCACTTTTTGTTTTATTTACTTATTTATTTATTTTCCTATACTAAGTTGCTGCTCTTGTGGGATAGCTCTCACATGAGAATGTAATATGTGCAAGTCAATGTTAATAAACCCATATTACAATCATTTCAAATGAATAATTTGCAAAGAAACTCTTACTGGATATCCAGCTTTAGAAATAGAAATACATTTAGATGCAAACAAATGTATATGCTCATTGTTTGCATAGAAGCTTCTTTGGGCAAGGTAGGATCAGTGAGCCCCATTTCCGGTGGACAAGACAGGAAGAGTGACTCACTTACAGTCTGACCAACTCATTTTTCTGGAGTCTTCTTAAGATGCCATTGGACATTCTCTTCTGTCTGAATTTCTGTCAGGTTGAATTAGTATCAGTGTATATGCACTGGACATCAGAAGCTGGGCAGCAAAAGGCGGCACAAAGCACAAAGTAGACATGCCTTATGTGGATAAGAACTACAATTTTCATATCTTAAACAGTTTGTTTAGTGTTTATGTTAAAGAGCTGGGTACCCACACCACCACCAGTCCTTAGAATACTCACTTCCTGTCTAGTGCACAGGTAAAATATACTTATAAATATGAATTTAGTTTGATCAAATACTCTCCTTTCTTGATTAGGTAATAAATGCTACAATCTAGCCAGGGAATATTAGAGAAGTTCTGGCCTCCCATTGCTCCCACCCCCTTTTCTCTTCTAACTCTTCCATCTTCTGGGATACAAGAGGCTGAACAAATATTTTCTATGGTTATATAATGTCCAAATTTTACCATCTCTATTGGTATATTCTGCCCTTTCTTCAAATTCTTTTTTTTGTGGGGTTGGAGGTGTGGGGGATGGAGTCTCGCTCTGTTGCCCAGGCTGGAGTGTAGTGGCATGATTTCGGCTCACTGCAATCTCCACCTCCAGGGTTCAAGCGATTCTCCTGCCTCAGACTCCCGAGTAGCTGGGATCACAGGCGCATGCCCCCATGCCTGGCTAATTTTTTTGTATTTTTAGTAGAGATGGGGTTTCACCATGTTGGCCAGGCTGGTCTCGAACTCCTGGCCTCAAGTGATCTCTCCACCTCGGCCTCCCAAAGTGCTGGGATTATGAGAGGGAGCCACTGCGTCCAGCCCCTTTCTTCAAATTCTTACGACACCTTTTCCAGTGTCCTATAGCACAGGCGTTGCTGTGTTTCTCTTTGGCGTGTTTGGAACTGCGTATCTGTTCTGCAGTGTCCCTCTCCTGCTGACACACCCACTGACGACATGGCCGTACGGTCTCACCTTGCACATAACTTCACTTTCTCTTTATGCACGCTACAGGCAGTTTCTACAGCAGCAGCCTGACAACATATCCTCTCTACACTGAGTTTCCCCTAAGTGCTACCTACTACAACTACACTGAAAGCTGCTCTATGCGATATAGGGAAGGTTTCTTGGATTCACTTAATTTTGTGTGCAATGTTAAAAAAGAGGAAAGAATTAGTACCCTGGCAAGAATACAAGGAGTAAGACCCTCCCCTTAGGAAATAAAATCCTATCTCTGTCACTTCCTGCTTTCATCTCTTTAAAATATTCCAGCTCCCCTGGAGACAGATCCAAAGGGTCATCTTCATCTGGGGCTATGGGATTAACAGGGGACGTTTCCACTCTTTAGTACCCAATATGAATGAATTAGTAATAATATCAATAAATATTTTGTCTTAACATATTTTTATGAAGAATTCCAGAATGTTTACTCTGTTTAATACACTATTTTAAGCACTTTATACTAACTCACTTAATGCCCTTGACCTTACGATAGGTACTTCCATCATTCCCATTTTACAAAAAAGGAAACTGAGGTATGGTGCAGTTAAATAACTTTGCCATGACCATTCTGCCAGCAGGAGGTAAAGCTGGGATTGGGGCTCAGCAATGGCGGCTGCAGTTGTGCATTCAGCCTCTTAACTAATAAGCTATGTGGCTTTCTAACCGATATTACTACAGGTTATACTGCACGCATAACTTTGGTGTATATAGGAACAAACATTTCTACTTTTTAAAGGACATCTGTATATGTGTTTACTATGGTTGCATAATTAAGTATACACAACCAAACCTGCACAAATTTTCACTCCAATTATTTATTTAAACATTGACTATGTGCCAGCACATTTCTAAGTGCTAGGGGTGCAGCCTTGCCCTTGTGGACTTTTACCTTCTAATAAGAGAGAGAAACAATAAAATACATGAAGAGTTTTCCCTCTGTTCCTGCCTTTCACCCTCCCACAAATATCTGAACATGTTACGACTCACACACTGTTCCAGGTAAATATTAGGTCTAATAAAGCATCAACAGATGAAAGTCCTTGCTTTCAAGGAGTTTACACTCAGACAGTGACATTCATAAGTGCCTTGGAGATAAATATAGCTAGGTATGCAAGAGGAGAGGGAGGGGTTGCTATTTTATTCACAGCACTCAGAAAGTACCATGTGAGTAGAAAATAGAAGGAACTGAGGATGTGGCTTTGCAAGCTATCTTCAGATCATTTCAAACAAATGCAGGCCTGGGCAAGATGGCGTTTGGTAAGTTTTAAGTGATGGCCCAGAGGAGCCTCCATGGCTGGAGAGGAGTGAGCAAGGGGAAGAGGAGTTAAAGAGTCCCAAGGAAGGCCTGAATTCACTTACAATTTCAAAGTAGTCAATCACTTGGAAGCTTCAAAATTAACTGCCGATTCTCCAACTTCCACAATCGGAGAAGGTACAACAATTTACAAAAGGTTATTAGTATCATATATGTACTTTAGACACATGTTAGCTTCCAAAGTTCGTGGGCTGTTTCGCAGTTCCCCCTGTAATTCTGCAGTACCTCTCCATGACCATCACATCATCTAAGGGTCCAGACTCTTATCAATCACCTAATTCACCCTGTAGGTCATGGATTCAGAGCATACTCTCCCCAGCACTGTGCCCCGAGGGCTAGTCTGTGATTTTTCTAAGGCTGAATCCTTATCTTAATGAAATTTCTAACACAGCACCTTGGATAATGGCTGGGCTTTAACATACGCTCAGTACAACTGTCCTAAATCAAATTGCAAGAAGCTTAAAGGAAAAGTCAAACAACTGTGTACTCGTCTCAATGCAGCTATCAACTTGAGTAGAAGATGCCCAAAAGCAGTAATTCAAATGTTTTCTTTCATGAATCTGTATACAAAGCTGAAAGTTTCTGAGTTTTATTGTAAGCAATTTCCTTATTACGGAATCTAGAGACTCTGATCAGCGGAAATCATCTGCCAATGAGCTCTCTCTATGTTGCAGATCTTTTAATGCTTATCCCTTATTGTTGCCAAATGGGGAGCAACGTGAAAAAGTGGCAAAAGCAAAGTGGACAGAATGCAGCGGTGAAGAGGGGAAGGTCTTCAGCTCTTAATATCTAACCTAAGAAAACTAAAACCATGATTACTAAATAGATTATATGCATTACGTTTTTTGTTTTTGGTTTTGGTTTTTTTGAGACGGAGTCTCACTCTGTCGCCCAGGCTGGAGTGCAGTGGCGCGATCTCGGCTCACTGCAACCTCTGCCTCCCCGGTTCAAGCGATTCTCCCACCTCAGCCTCCCTAGCAGCTGGGACTACAGGCACCTGCCACTACGCTTGGCTAATTTTTTTCATTTTTAGTAGAGAAGGGGTTTTGCCATGTTGGCCAGGCTGGTCTCAAACTCCTGACCTCTGGTGATCCATCCGCCTCGGCCTCCCAAAGTGCTTGGATTACAGACGTGAGCCACCGTGTCCAGCCTACGTTACCTTTATGAAAGACAACTATTGTTGTCAGTTTCTACGCTTTTAAACTAGTTTTTCCTTCCCTTCATTTATTATATTTTAAAGTAGGGAGCTACTTTTTTTTTTTAGGGAGCTATACATGATCTTACTTTGCCCTTTGATTTCACACTAGCGCCTCCTAGAACCAAACTACCTGTAAGGCGAGGAGGGTGAGCGCTGTGTTCTTTAATGTGAATTAGATGTTATCTGCCATCTAACTCAATCTCAAAGTGTTTGGTATTTTAAGACTGAAATCATGGCATTTTGGAGGTAAAAAGAGGTTAGTGACATAAGCTGGAACAGATTCAGTTATTGGGCACAAGACAGGACAATCTGCTCTGCAAATAAACTGAGAATTAAAGAGACCCAGTAGACAACAAATTTAGTGAATAATGTCCTCTCCATACCCCCCCCAACAACCAGCAAAAAAAGGAAAGAAAGAATGAAGAGTCTTTAAAATCAGTTGGGAAGAAAAACATTGCATTTTCTGGCTTTCTAAAATGTGACAAGGCCTTTACATTTATAATCTTATATTAGTGACAGTCAGAACCTCCTAACAGATTGTTAGAGTAAATTTAAATAGGAATCCCCTTGGACTGATAAATGGGGGCAGGTGGGTTGGGGGGAAAAGTCATCCCTGCCAGGGCTCACAGGTAAACAAGCAGAATTCAGGGCATGTCTGCCTGTTACATCAGAGACCCTTGATGTGATCCAGAGGAATTGTGGAGTAATCTGGACAAGCACCTACCTCTAGGCCACAAGGACTTAAGAAAGTGAACTGGAGAACTTCCCGGCAAGACTACCTAACGACTGTTCATATCAAAACAACTGGTACCCAGAGACAGAACTCCTGACTCCAAATCCAACACTTTTTGTCCACTGCACCATTGTATACAGCAGAGATGACAAGGTAAACAGCTGTTGACAAAGCCAGGCTTTCCAGAGGGTAGGTTTAGTCAACAAATACTTTGACAAGTATTTTTCAAGGAAACTAAAAAAGACAGAGTCTAAAGGAGAGGATAAAGTAACAGGCAGCACAAACCAGCTTGAATCACCAAAAAGAATCCTTCAGAACCAGATCATGAGCCTTCATGAAGGGAGGGGATGAGGACAGAAGCAGCCAGAGATGCTACTCAATAGAAACAAAAAAAGCCCTCCCCAAACTCTTCCCCTGAACCTCTCCAGAGGGATAAGGCAAAAGTGCTGTTTTTGGCAAAACTATGTAAATACAAATTCATATTTCATTAGTTCCTAGACACATTTTTTAAATATTTCAAATTCTTTAAAATTAGAATGGATTTTTTTTTTTTTTTTTTTTTGAGATGGAGTCTCACTCTGTCGCTCAGGCTGGAGTGCAGTGGCGCAATCTTGGCTCACTGCAACCTCCGCCTCCAGGGTTCATGTGATTCGCCCACCTCAGCCTCCTGAGTAGCTAGGACTGCAGGCGCCCACCACCACGCCCAGCTAATTTTTGTCTGTTTAGTAGAGATGGGGTTTCACCGTGTTGGCCAGGATGATCTTGATCTCCTGACCTCGTGATCTGCCAGCCTCGGCCTCCCAAAGTGCTGGGTTTACAGGCGTGAGCCTCCGCACCCAGCCAGAATGGTTTTCTCATGCATCAACCAGTGTGAACCCTGGCAGCCAGGTGGCTGTCAGACTTTTATTACCTGTGCACAACGCAAAATTATACTGTTGGTTTAATCTTGATTTAATTGATGTTTACAGTGTCTTCAAAAAGATGCTATAAAAGGTACTGAGACAAAAGTATTATTTATGCAGGCAAGCATCGAGAATATGCCAAAGTCATTTGTATGTAAAAATCTGTAAGTTTAAGAATTATTAGAAACTCCAAGAGAAAGCACTGTGTCATAGTTAATTGCTGGCATTTTTTTCCTTTTTTTTTTTTTTTTCTTGATTTTGTATTTAACACCATTTTCTCCAAGTGAAATGGCATATTCTTTTCTGGCAGTAGCAGAAAATATATGAAAATATACTTTTAAATATGTAAAATATAAAATATAATAAATTAAGATACTGACTTATCTCCCAATCAATAGTATCTTAGATTCAAAAAATTTGATGTTGTTTGTTTTCACTAGTACTGTCATCCCTTGGTATCTGTGGGGTACTGGTTCTAGAACACTCCCCTACAAAATACCAAAATCCATGGATGTTCAAGTCCCTGATATAAACTGGCACTCAGTATTTAAATATAACCTATATACACTCTGCTGTATACCTTAAGTCATCTCTAAGCTACTTTTAATACCTAGACAATGTAAATGCTATGTTAATAGTTGTTATACTTTATTGTTTGGGGAATAATGACAAGAAAAAAATACGAACATTCTCAGTAGAGATGCAACCATTTCTTTTTTTTTAAATCTATTTTCCATCTCCAGTTGGTGGAAACTGCCAATGTGGAACCCACAAATACAACAGTCTGCTGTATGCAGTTGCCTTAAAACTCAGTAACATTTAATTCTGGTTTTCTTTTCTCTTTTGAGACAGCATCCTGCTCTATCACCCAGGCTGGAGTGCAGTGGCGGAACTGCAGCCTCAGCCTCCTGGGCACAGGCAATCCTCCCTCTTCAGCCTCCTAACTGGGACCACAGGCGTGAGTCACAATGCTCAGCTAATTTTTAAAATGTTTGTAGACACAGGGGCTCATGATGTTGCCCAAGCTAGTCTCGAACTCCTGGACTTAAGTAATTCTCCTACCCCAGCCTCCCCAAATGCTGAGATTATAAAAGGCATGGAGTCACTGCACCCAGCCTAACGTTTAATGTTTAAAAACAAGATTTTATTCTGTTTATTTTCATTTATAGGTCATGACATTCAAACAATGACGGCATAAAAATTCCTTCTGCTTTGGGCAAAACAAGGTATTTTGAAATTCTTTTTTTTTTTTGACATTTAATTCTAAAGTTTTATGGCCAATTCCTCAAACAAGACCATTCAAAAAGCTACAGAAATTCTCTCTATTCAACGCCTTTTAAAATGCTATTTTTCAGTGTAGCTAAATGAGAATGATATTTTGTAAGCACTGCTATTATTAGAGACTAAGAATACATTTGAGATTATTATTAGAATTTTACTTTTTCATTTTCCAAAAAAAATAATACCAGGTTCCAAAAAGCTGCACCTTGAGATTATAGGTAACTATTCCTCATGAAAAAAAATTACAGGTTGGATGAAATTTGCGTGAATTAGTTAAGACCAGTATTTATAATCAAGGCCTAACAAAATTACAAGCTCTTGAGTTTTTCCTAACAAAACTGAATAATATTGTTTCTCATTTGTGACCAGTTTCTATGGAAATGAACAATATTCCAGCTAATTCAAACACTGCTGCAGATAATATTAAATAGCAATGTCATTTTAATTCCAAAATTTTGACCCCCACAACACACACACACACACACACACACACACACACACCCCAATAACAAAGCTCCAATTCCAGGTGGCTCTTAAACTTCTATACCCATGGCTTCAAATAATAATTTTGATTTTAAGTCATAATTTAGCCTCTCACTTCAAGTGTTTTGAGAAGGGAATACCCACACACACATGCACACACATGCACACACACCACACACACACACACACACACACACACACAAATGGTTGCTTAGAGGACAACCTCCATCCTAAGAAAAAATAAGACTGGCAAGTAATCGAGTTCTTTAACTTCTAAGCCCCCGACTGCAGAGTCACAATGCACCTTAGTACCCTTAGCAAAGACAATAAAGACGTAAAAGTCCTTCAGAAAAGAAAAAAAATTTTCTTTGTTTCACCACCTTGATAATTTTTTGTTTACTTCCTATTTACTTTCTATCTTTTCTACATGCAACACACTCTTTGTGAAACAGGCATTCCAACTTTTGCTAAGCTATTAGATTTACACAATAAGGTTTTTTTCTACACAGAAACTTTGGTTGAGAAGGGGCCATGGGAAGGTCTTGTACATGATACAAAGAAATATCCTAAGAAGAAGTATGATGCATAGCCCTAAATAAAGTCTGTCCTGTGTCCCATCCAGTTCTCCAAAGGACATCATTCAGGCATCACTTGACAGCAGAACCAACCTGTGTTGTTCCTTTAGTAGTAGTACAGTCCATCCCCGGGAGTGTGTTCCAAGTACCCCTTCACCACCCCCTAAGCTGGACAAACATACTCTTAAGAGCAATACTCCACCTGGTGCGAGAATAAAGTAGAATCATCCTCAAATTCAACTCTTAAAATGGCAAAAGTCTGTGACCTGGCTGTGATGTCCTGTGTCAAACTGTCCCTCCTACGCCAATATCTCCCTAGCGACAGTCTCTGCCTCCTGACCTAAATGACATAAGCTATCAGTGTGAACCACTAAGCAATTCCCAACTATCTGCCTCAAGAAGCTGCATATCAGAGATGAACTCAGAAAACAGCTTGCACTCATGTTTTATGACTTTCAGAGAACACTGACATTTCAGAATGAAATTCACCACGGAAAAGTCATATGCTGACCTCCCTAGTATATTAACCCCATGTACATCTCATCTTCTCAAATAAAAAAATCCATGTCAGATGACCAGGTTCAGGTATTTTAAAGTTTACAGCACAAGAATATTTGCTTAAATGTGCTTCTCCTAGGTCCTGGCACTACCTCACTCCCATCCAGCACATGTGCTCACTCCAAAAATGGCAAGCCGATCCAATCAATCAGCTCTTGAAGTTTCAATTTAAGCTCCATTCTTTAATATTATTTCTAAAGCATATAATAGATAATATTAATCTGGTTTTATAAAGAAGGAGGAAAAGGGAGAATGGAGAGACAGGAAAAAAAAAAAAAAAACCTTATCACTTCAATAACTAGAAAAGCATACCTGAAGCCAAAATAGACCTGCCAGTCTGGAACTTCCCCTCAGAGGATACACTCCTTTCTTCGGAGTCTGCAGAAAATAAGATGCACTTTGGCACCATTCTTCAAGCTCGCTTTAAAATTTCTCCTTCAACTATAATCAAGTCATCTAGACAGTCTAAGTTTTACATTTTGAATTCCTATCATTGGAACTAGGGCTGATAAAATAAAAACTAAACATCCTTTAAATCAGTTAAAAGATCTTTACCCTAGCCACTCAAAATAAGAACAAAATACAAGTAAAGTGGCAATAATAGCAAAGGCGTGAATTCTCCCCTCCCCTTTATTCACTAGAGGTATGAAAAGTCCTGCCCTATTGATGATCAAACCGCCTTCTGGGTCCTGCCACAAGAGATCCTGAATTCCGCAACTTATCATTGAATTCTGCAATGTCACCAGCTGCAAGTCACCCAAGAGATGACGTTTCTACACCTTGTCACACAGTACTGTCACATGCTAGTCACTCCATAGCAACTAAAATACTTGCAGATGTAACTCTCATTGATACCATTTAAAACTTGCCTAAGTTTTTGGGAAAATGAGGACACCATACCTCCTCTCTCCTTACAATTACACATGGTGCTTTATCTTAAACACACTCACACACACACACACACACACACACACACACACACCCCATTCCATGTTCACAAGTGTTTCCTAATACGCTGACAAGGCGGCCTAGAAAGCACTATAAACTTAGTGGAGAAAAAGTGAGGTCAGGCATGGTAGCTCAAGCCTGTAATCCCTGCACTTTGGGTGGCTGAGGCGGGAGGATTGCTCAAGCCTAGGAGTTCGAGACCAGCCTGGACAACACCGTGAGACCTTGCCTAAATAAAACAAATTTCCAGGCTTATCTGTACATGTCTGTGGTCCTGCCTACTTGGGAGGCTGAGGCGGGAAGAGCACGTGAGCCCAGGACTTTGAGGCTACAATCAGGTATGATCATGCCACTGCACTCTAGCCTGGGTGACAGACATGGCCGTGTCTCTAAGAAAATCAGTAACTTTTTTAAAGTGAGACCCAGGCTATGTCAATTTTCCAAAGACACAAAGATACTTAGATATAAAGTTAGAATTAACCACATGTATCTGTCTTCAGTCCTAGAGTACCTTCCACAGTAAACATTCCACTGCCCTTATATAGTTGAAAGGAAGGCAACATGGTGAAGAGAAAAGAAATGATAAATTTGGAGGCTCAAGCCGACCAAAGTTCAGGTCTCAGCTCTAAATTATGTCACCTTTCTCATCCTTAGTTTCCTCATCTGTAAATACTAAGGATCAGAACACCTGCCTTACAGGGTTACTGTGGGGATTAAACAAAATCAGTAACTCAAAATTAGGTATTAGTCTTAAGATATTTAAGACTTTAATGGTTTCTGCTTCCCAGAATTCTTGATTTTACAAAATAGAAATAGAAAAATTAAATTCTGCGCAATTCCCAGAATAAATTCAGGGGCCATCTATCACTGGCTAAGGCATACACTTTATTATCTATGGTAAATGCTACAAAGAAATGTGTAGTGTTTGGGGGAAGCAGTGAATAAGAACAGAGATCAAGATGGCTTTGTCAACACCTGACTGCGATACAGATAACTAGAAGAGTCAAATTAGATCCCTAGGCAGAGTATCAATAACACACAGTACTTCAGCCAGCGTGCCAGGGCATACACGAGTCCAGCATCATCCTTTTAGTCAAGTATTTGAACAAACAAGAGGACAAGAATTGCCCTCTTTCCATAAGTCCCCCCAAAACAGTATTCTATAAAACCCTAGTGTGCTCTAGGCTCTGAAAAATCAAAGCTATAAAAAAATACACACATACAATGTTTTAACTTTCCAGCATTTCTCAGATTTATTTGACTATGAATCATTTTGTACCTAAACAGAATTTGAAAAACCCTGCCTTTCTGCAATACTACAATATACTAGTGCAGTCCCTGAAACTTATGTGTGTATTAGAACTACATGGGAAATTGTTAGAGGCAACTTTAGGTCCCATCTCAGACCTAAAGTTTGAGAACCCAAAAGTTAGTTATATTTCAAAAGGCATCCTAAGTTCTAAACAAATTTAGAAAACTACTGCACCAGTAGGTTTTTAGAGTTGTCAGTTGTGAAGACCACCAGACTCTCCAAATTCAGTGTCTGTAAGAGTCACCTGGGAAGCTTGTTAAAAACACACATGGCCAGGTACCACCCCCAAGAGTCAGATTCACAGGTTCTGGGGTGCAACCCGGTTTGAGAATCACAAATGGTCTAACTAGGCATTCAGTGTCCACTGGCTATAAGCATCCTCACCGTAACTACCTTGTATTTTATTAGAGGATAAATAATAATTAGGGATATGAGTGTTGAGGGGAAGAGAATCCTATTCACTGGTACAAATTAACTCAGAGGGTTTCAGTATTTTGAATGAAGATGATTTCTTCTTTTTCCAGTCCCAGCTCAAAGGAGAGGATGATTTAAGAAATTATGATTCATACTTTGAACATTACTGTTTTAACTGATCAATATTTTCAATGGACTGAGAACAACCTGTGAAAATCTGATCTCTTCCCTAACCTCCACACGCAACTCATTGCTGGCTTTAAAAGCATTAGCAAAATCAGCACATCCCACAGGGATCTATGTAGTCGATTCACAGTCTCTTCATTTGATCAGAATCAAGTTCTTCCGTATTTCCCCCTACAGCAAAAAGGTCCTGGGATGGTTAATTTTACGTGTCAACTTGACTGGGCCACAGGATATCTAGACACCTGGTTAAACATTGTTTCTGGGTGTGTTTGTGAGGCTGCTTCTAGAAGAGATGAGCGTTTGAGTGGTGGACTGAGTAAAGCGGATGGCCCTCCCCAATGTAGGTGGGTATCATCCAAAGCCCAAAGGCCTAAATGAATAAAAGGGTAGACAAAGTCTGAATTCAATCTCTTCCTGACTGCTAAACTGGGACATTTCTCTTTTCTGCCCTCAGAGCTCCTGGTTCTCAGGCTTTCATACTCAGACTACAATCTAAATTATCAGCTCTCTGTCGCTCAGGCCTTCCAACAACACCAGAGGCTTCCCTGGGTCTCCAGCTCGCAGATGGCCGATCGTGGGACTTCTTGGCCTCCGTAATCACGTGAACCAATTCCCTATAATGAATCTCATGATAGATAGATAGCACCTATTGATTCAATTTCTCTGGAGAATCCTGTTACAATTACACTACTCTCTACATGAACTGGACCCAAAGAGAATTGTATCAGTAGCAATTTCCCTTCTAACTTGCCTAGTCCAACTTACTATATGGCTCATCAAACAGCACATCTTATTACTTTATTATTACCTTATATTCCCTGTGATGTAAATAAGATTATTCCTCAAGATCTTTTGTATCTTTCCCTTGGGAATATAAATTGAAATGTTACCATCAAAGAAGGAAAGAGTCATATTACCTACAGCTGATTTTGGAACATCTACTGTGTTATCTTTGAAGTTTGAAGAATGCATGTCAGCCTCCATAAGTTTGGCAAAGGCCCTTTGGAAAGGCTTGAAGGTTTTGTTTTTGATTTTTAAAAATCTAATTATGGCTATAAACACCCAGGATCAACTTTCATTTTGTACTCAACACTGAGATGAATATTTCTAAAGCCAGAGGCAGTGTACTTTCTACCTTTCAAATGTACTGTAAGTCCTGGGCCTTAAGTGCTATAATATAATTAGTACCAGCTCATACCAAAGTGATATCAATGGTATGATAATATTATCAGCTCACACCAAAGTGATATGAATGGTATGATAATAGTATCAGCTCATACCAAAGTGATATGAATGGTATGATGGTTCTGACATTGTTTCGTACCAATATTAATGTCACAGTTAAGAGCAGCAGCTTAAGAGGAAAACAAAGTTCTCTCACTGATATCAGTTACCAAGCATGCATCCACACCTCCTGCCGGGCACCATATGAATAAAGAGCAAAATACAGCTCCCTATACCCAGAACTTCATAGTCTAGAGAGTGAACACAAACTCTGCACAGAAAACTATATGCAAGACAGAAATAATGGACCAACTAGTGCTTCAATGGGAAAAGGTTACACCACACACAACCCTGAACCAAAATGTGGCATTTACCAGGTGGAGAGAAAGGAAAGAAAAGTTTTCCCAGCACCAGGGATAGGTCACAGAAGACAGAGACGTGTAAGACTGAATGGCTTGTCCAAAGCAGTGCAAGAGCCAATGTCACTAGACTACAGGGTGCGAAGATGGGGCAGTCAGAGAGGGGCGTGGAATGCTTAGGCAAGGGAGCTAGGAAAAGACTTTAAGTGGGTACGAAAAATGGCCAGATTCAAGAGCGGTAACTAGGTGGTATTATGGAAGGTGACTGGATTAAATAGATAGATTAAATGAATTGGAATTTATAAAGTGCTTAAAGCAGTATCTGGCAAGTAAGTGCTATGAGAGTGTTTTTTAAGAGGGTGAGACTGAAGATGGGGGTAGGTCCAGTTAGCAGACTCCTGCAAGGGTCGAGGTGACAGATGAGAAGGATTCCATGTAAAGTAATCAATACAGGGTGGATGGAGCAGGATTGTGAGTAAAAAAGTAAAACCGGTTGAATTTGAGGCCAATTATATATGAGAGATGAAGAAGAGGGAGGACTCAAGGTAGACTTCAAGGTTTCTGACTTGAACACCTTGGTGAATCATAGTGCCTTTAGCCAACCTTTAAGCAACACAAAGATAAGCCAGACTTTTAGGAAGGCAGCAGATTAAAAAAAAAAAAAAGAAGCAAAAGCTAGTATTTCACAACACTTAAATCATTTGGGTCTCATAAACTCCATACAAGGTAGACAATTTATATATACATATACATATATATAATATATATATGTATATATATATATATATATATTTTTTTTTTTTTACAAAAAAAATGAGGTTAATGAGCTATTCCCTGAATTGCATAATTAAAAGTTGCAGGCAGCAGAGCTACAAGCTATGTCCTCTGGCTCCTTGGCTCATGGTAATTTCCATGTCACAGATTTGCCAAAGGAAACATATCATCCTCATACTCCAGCTTTCTACTTTTTCTCCTAAGCCAACTATAGAAAGCAGCCAAAAATCCACCCAAAAAATGACTTTAGTTTTATAGTTGCTGGTTCTTCCATTGAAGGCTTTGTTGTACCTCCTTATTAGTAATGGGAAATACCCACAAACATTCAAGACTCAAGTTCATTTATACGTTACAGCAACAACCAAGTGACCACATTCAAGCTTCGATACAAGAAAGCCATCTTACTCACAATTTTTTTTTTAATTCTCTTGACAAAAGGTATTTTTTACGATGAAAAGTCAAACTACTGGCCAGGCATGGTGGCTCATGTCTGTAATCCCAGCACCCTGGGAGGCCAAGGCAGGCAGACTGCTCGAGCCCGGGAGTTCAAGACCAGCCTGGGCAACATGGTGGACTCCCATCTCTACCAATCAATCAATCAATACAAAGAAATACAAAAGTTAGCTGGGGCTGGGCGAGGTGGCTCATGCCTGAAATCCCAGCATTTTGGGAGGCTGAGGCAAGCAGATCACATGAGGCCAGAAGTTTGAGATCAGCCTGGCCAACATGGCAAAACCCTGTCTCTATTATAAACAAACAAACAAAAAATTGGGCATCGGGGCACATACCTGTAATCCCAGCACTTTGGGAGGCTGAGGCAAGCAGATCACATGAGGCCATGAGTTCAAGATCAGGCTGGCCAACATGGTGAAACCCTGTCTTTACTAAAAATGAAAATATAAAATTCAGTTACTAAGAGGCTGAGGTGGGCGGACGGCTTGAGCCTGGGAGGCAGAGATTGCAGTGAACAGAGGTTGCTGCTACTGCACTCCAGCCTGGGCGACAGAGTGAGACTCCGTTAAAAAAAAAATACTGAAAATTTAAAAATTAGTTGGGCATGGTGGCATGTGTCTATGGTCTCAGCTCCTAACGAGGCTGAGACAGGTGGATCAACTGAAGGCACAGGCTGTAGTAAGCTGTGATCATGCCACTGTACAGCCTGGGTAACAGTGAGAGAGACCCTGTCTCCAAGAAAATTTTTTAAAAAACGGGCAAATTATCTAACATTTAGAATTTGAAAAGTATGTTCTCTATACCATAGAAAAACTAAAAACTCATTTAAAAAACACACACAAGGGAGAAAGTTTTAAGGTTATCTAGTAACCCAAGAATCTTGAGATACATCCAAATTCTTCCATAGTTCCCCAGCAATTAGAATGGATGTCATTCCCTTTATCTAAAACGTTCTAGTGCCTATAGAATCCCGTCCATCAACGCCCTAGCATGCTGTTCCAGATTTGCTGCGTTTGGCTGACCAAGTCTTGAGCCTCATTTCCCACTAAATTTTTCCCTTGTACACTATGTGGTCTTTGGCTCATGTTATTGTTTCCTAAGCTTCAGGTGTCCTCTCCCTTCTAGCACACACATCTACTCCTCCTGCAAGGCTCAAATCAGATGTCTCTATGAAGCCTGCGGAAACCCTCGACTGACATGACTTCACAATCTCGTAGCACTGTTGTTAAGCCTCTAATAGGGCACTTCTTTAACTGTCTTGAAATAAAATACATGAGATGAATTAAAGGATACTCTACCGTTTGAGAGAATTTTTACTACAATTTTGTAAAAAGACATTTTTAAAAGACAACCGTTTCACAGGGCCTGATAGTAAAAAATAATAAATAAAAATAAAAAATAATAATCACAACCATACCTTCTTCCCCAAAAAGCTCTGAAGATACCAAATCTTAATAACTTTATTTTATTTTATTTTATTTTTTTGAGATGGAGTGCTTTGTCAGCGAGCCTGGAGCGCAGCGGTACAATCTCAGCTCACTGTAACCTCTGCTTCCTGGGTTCAAGCAATTCTCCTGTGTCAGCCTCCCGAGTAGCTGGGACTACAGGCACGTGCCACAACTCCTACAAGGTTTTACCATGTTGGTCAGGCTGGTCTTGAACTACTGTCCTCAAGTGATCCACCCACCTTGGTCTCCCAAAGTGCTGGGATTACAGGTGTGAGCCACCGCACCCAGCCAGTAATTTTCTACTGAATGAAATAGGCTCCAGATCCCACTGAGTCCTCAAGCTCCAAGGACCTTGCTATATTAAAGCCTTTAGGTCCTACAAGTGCTGTTGCTGAAATGTGCTCAAGTTATATTTGGTGTTCCCAATTAAACTCCAATAGACCACACCTAAACCAGACTCATTGTGGGTGACTCTTGCCTTACAACAAGTTTTATACACCAAAACTTCTGGGCATCTCTTTTAGTCATTTCCCAGGAGGACACAGAACACAGGCACAATGCAACTTGTTTAAAAGAACAACAGAAATTATCTTCTGTCATTCAAAGCAGAGGAGCAGATATCAGGTATCAAAGTACACTTTGGTTATCCAATCAATCACTTTCATTTGTTGGCTTTTGGGCAAACTTTTTTAAAAAATGAGTTACCTAAAGAACAACATGGTCGCGAAAGGAGATAAAAAGACTGCAGCATAACCCGAACTCCACCCCTTCGGAAGGCGTAGCTGTCCTTTGGCTGCACTGCTCCCACTGCAGTGTAGACATGGAAGTATCTGCTTCCCGTTTCAGGGTTCTCTAATCACAGACTGGATTCTTTCAACCTAAACCATCTATGAGAACAGAGCATCTTGGGGAAAGGCCAATACCATTTTCAGCTATGGAAAATACCTACAAGAGCCATTTACTGGGGAAGGAGCTTCCCTGAAACCATTCATTCTAGGAGGCAACATTGTTAAGGGCAGAGAATAATGGACTGCCTATCCAGAAAGCGAGGCAGAGGCAAAACAACTTAGAGGTTAAAAGCAAGGACTTGTGACACCGACCACCTTGGTTCAAATCCTGACTCTGACGTTTGCTTCTGTGCCTCAGTTTGCCCATCTATAAAATGGGGTAGGAGTGCACCTAAGTGCATAAAATAGGGCAGCTACTATTAATCTGGTTCTGAAGCTAAACGCCTGCATGACCTCAATCAAGTCACTTAACATCTCAGCTTCCTCATCTGTAAAGTGAAAGTATTAAATACACACCCTTCTGCAGCTCTAGAATGGCTCTGAACTTAAGTATAGTACCACCTAACTCAATGTACCAGGATTAGCAGTCTCAACTTGCTTAATTTTATTAGTCATATAGTAATTTCACATAAAATCAGTTTGATCACCGTATTTTTAGTTCCAGTTCTCCAAGGTCAACCCTCAGTTCAACATGACATCAGGCCAGATGCCGTGGCTCATGCCTGTAATCCCAGCACTTTGGGAGGCCGAGGCAGGCAGATCACCCGAGGTCCGGAGTTTGAGAGCAGCCTGGCCAACATGGTGAAACCCAGTCTCTACTAAAAATACAAAAATTAGCCAGGAGTGGTGGCGGGCGCCTATAGTCCCAGCTAGTCAGGAGGCTGAGGAAGGAGAATTGCTTGAACTTGGGAGGCGGAAGTTGCAGTAAGCTGAGATGGCACCATTGCACTCCAGCCTGGGCAACAAAGTGAGACTCCATCTCAAAAAATAAACAAATGAAATAAAATAAACAAACAAACACGACATCAAACAGGTTCCCTCATGAAGACATGTTGCAAATAAATAAGCTATAGAAAATAGCCAAAAAAGGATTTGGTCTTGCTATTCATATTCAGTTCTGAGTTCAGTGTGTAATTTATAGTAACAGAATAAATATAACAAAAAAAAAATAGAAAAAGTATGGGAAGAAAGGTAAGTTTACTATAACTTGAGAAAAGTTGAAACAATGTCTTTGTATTAACTTCTGAAAACATTTTCATAAACTGGAACCATCCAGGCTCACAAAAGCAAAAACCTTCCTTTCTGTTGCCAACAAAACAGCACCAAATACTTTTATGTACATTCCTGTGTTTTCCTCCAACTGCCTTTTTCACTCTAGCTCTTGAAATATGGTCTTTATTATAGGTGGAGTTCTCATACTTTATGAGCCAGCCTGCCATTTTAGATGCTGTAAAAGCCCAGTGGATGTATCACTGCAACCCTAAAGAGTAAGGAAATTAAAGGATAAAAGTATAAAGTATAGGGTTATATCTTGCTTCACGTCCAAGGATGCACAGAGGTCATCTATGTATAAAACTGCTTTTTTTTTTCAAATTCCTCAAAACTGTGCACAACTCCAGTAAACAGAAGGCAGGCTTTCCCTTCAGTTCTGCATAGATTCACATCAGGATAAAACTCAAACGTTTTGGGCACAGGCTTATTGGCCACACTCCTTTCAACTCCAATTTCCCTACGCCGCTACTTCTGCCAACCAGTACAGCTCACTGTGGTTGCTCAAGTTCACCAATAACATGTCAAGCATTATCCTCCAACCCCCTTTTAACTGTTAACTTAGGAAACACTGAGTGACTATTGTGTGTCAGACATAATGGTCAACATATTAGTCCATTCTCACAGCGCTAATAAAGACACACCCAAGACTGGGCAATTTATAAAGGAAAGCCGTTTAGTGGGCTCACACTTCCACATGGCTGGAGAGGCCTCATCGTCATGGTGGAAGGCAGAGGAGGAGCAAAGGCATGTCTTACATGGTGGCAGGCAAAAGAGCAGGTGCAGGGGAACTGCCCTTTATAAAACCATCAGACCTGGTGAGACCTATTCATTATCACTAGAACAGCATAGCTCCCATGATTCAATTACCTCCCACCAGGTGCCTCCCATGACACACGGGGATTATGGGAACTACAATTAAAGATGAGATTTGGGTGGGGACACAGCCAAACCATATCAGTAAACAAGGCAGATATGCTCTCTGGCATGGCAGTTTGAGGTTATAATTGAGCAGCCATGAGAGATGATTTTTAAAAAGCAACTATGTTAAAGATGAATGTTATTTTTAAAGATTTAAAATGTTACTTTAAAGGAGCAATGCAATAGAACACATAGCCTAGTCTAAGGACATCAGCCTTCCTGGAGAAAGTGACAGCGAAACTGACACTGAGGACCAGGAGCAGGAAAGCCCCAGGCAAGATAACAAGACATATTTTAAAAAGCAAGGGACATTCACTCAGGTTGAAGCTTGTGGGACGGAGGTGAGACAGTGTGAAGAACACAGAGCAGGCAGAAGATGAAGGTGGAGGTGAGCAGCTGCTTCATTATGAAGGCTCACACTGACAGCACCATCAAAACACTTTTCCCTTTGCTTGAGGTCCATCTTGCACTTTCCCAATAGGCCAGTACCATTTATTAGAAAATAATCAGATAACTAAATATGTGACATGCCATCTTAGCAGGTATAATACATTTTAACAGGAACTTTGTGGAGGCAGTGCTTTGACCAGAAAGACTGATAAATGAGTGAAATTTTAAGGCTCCAAGACAAGCCAGTGGAGAAAATCTTTGGGGTTAAAATGAGTTTTCCACTAGTTTCATTCCTGTATTTGCTGTGTAAGTTACCAGAGCATTCCAGTTATCTAGACAGCATTTAGTTATCTAGTCAGAATAATTATCACTAAAAAATACAACAGTGTAAGACATGTGCTACCTGCCATTACAATTATTATCCTCATTTTAAAAGATCTAGCACAATAAATTGAGAAAAAGAAATGAAAGAAAAAATAGAAAAAGGTAGAAATAAAATAATTACTTGCATATAACTGTTGACATGTAAAGCCCAAAAATATTAAGCAAAAAATTACAACTAGTAAGATAGTCAGTTACAAAAATATAAAAACAATAGCTTTAATAAATCATGAGGGACCAGTTAGAAAACATAACTGAAAAAAATTCTACCAAGAATAAAATTTATGAAGTAGCTAGGAATAAACTTAAGAAAACTAAAATAAGGAAAGTACAAAATTTTGCTGAGAGAAGTGAATTACAGTTAAATAAACACTATGCTCCTGCAATAAACATTGTAAAGATGTTTCTCTCACTAATCCCTCTAAAATGTAATCCAATTCAAAGAGCACATGAAAGATAAGAATGTAGAGAACTTGAAGAAAATATATTTGAATGTATAATTTCCTCATAAAGAAGGTATTTCTAACCTAGAAACTAGCAGAAATCATGATTTAATTGAGCCTTGATTACATGGCAACACCACTAAGCAAAATTAAAATGATAAATGGATAGAAAAACACCCATTATACAAAAGGCAATACTATCCTTCAAATGGAAAGGGCTTTTGGGTACCCATAAGAGAAAGATTAATACAACAAATCAAAAAATCGGCAAAATACATTGTACTGAGCATTCTAATCACTGCATCCTTGTGTCAGGGCTAGAGAAGTCAATTCATCCACAGCCCCTGGCAACAGGCCCCAAGAGCCTCAGCTCTCTATGCTGACCTCAGCTGACTGGAACAGGAGTGACCAGCTGATAAAACTGATCCAACAGACTGCTCACCCTAGAAATCTGGGCCGCGGATACCCATGCACTTAAACTATGACTGGGTACGTGAACTGAAAGGTCACATAAAGTAGGGGCTGAACTAAGTGGCATGGCACACCAAAGCCAGGTAGAATGAAGAGTTATATAGAGGAACAAAGACGCCATGAAAAAAAGGGAGAGTAGAGATGGCAGAGAGAAGCAGACCCTTCAGTTCTTGTGTCTGGGAGGTCTCACTGTTCCTTGCATCCTGTTCTTGGATATAAACCCAACGCCTGTGACATCCATCCAATACAATTAATTCAAGTAGGTTTACAGTCCACTGCAACCAGAGTCTAGACCAAAACAGATGTGAGCAAGCAATTCGTAAAAAAAGGGTAAGCAGATAAGAATTAGACATGTGGAAATAAAGCTCATCCATGTCAAAGACATACAAATTAAGGTATTCAGATAGCTTTTTCAGCCATTAAATTGGTTAAGATAAAAAAGCACTTAGACAAAGGACAGTCAAGTATGCGAAGAAATACAGGCACTCATACATTAAAGGCAGAAGTACAATCTGATATATATTGGACTAGGTCTAACAACTCTTAAAATATGCATATCCTAAGAACCAGCAATTATATGTCTAAGCATTTATTTTAAGAAAAGAATCATAAACATACCCAAAAATTACTTAAGGGTATTTACTGCAGTGATAATTATAATAAGACCACAAAAGAAACAAATTTACAACATATCACTGTTTTTCACGCATTACTCATCACCTTTTTGACTTTTACAGATCCTTATACCTCATGTATTGATTTACTATTATTAAGTCAGGTCATGATTTTTATTTAACTTAGTCTTCCAACTAGTATTTATTGAGTGCCTACTACATACTACATTCCAGGAACTTTTCTAGATTCAGGAGTGACCAAAACAAGACAAAAATCCCTGCCCTCGTGGAACTTACATTTTAGAGGACAGAGAAGTGATAAGTAAAATACGTAGTACGTTGGTAATACAGCCAAGGGGCCGTGGGGAAGCAGGCAAGGAGAATATGAAACCGTGAGAGGAAAAGAGTTATAATTTTAGAAAAGGCAGGCAGGTAAGTGCCCAACAGAAGAGAATCATTAAAAATGTGAAGTGGGAGAGCAGGGCTCTGGGGATGAACACTTCAAGGAGAAAGAAAAGCAAAGGCAAAGGCCCCGAGGTGGAAGCATGCCCGGCGTGCTCAGAAATGGCCAAAGAGGCCAATGCAACTGAAGCAGAGTGAGCAACAAGAGTGGGAGGAGATGAGGCCACAGAGCGGTGTATGCGGTGTAGATGGGGGGGCGGATCGTGTAGGGACTTGGAGGTCATGGTAAAGGCTCTGGCTTTGACTCTGAGATAAGTCAACAAATTGAGAAAAGACTAAAGCAGGGTGTTAGTTGCAAAGATATGGGAATAAACCGTGCTCACCTGGATCACTTGAATGAGAGTAGCATTCAGAGTGGTAACACAGTTGAGATATGAATGTATTTTGAAGGTAGAGCTGACCAAATTGCTGACATGCTGAATACTGGAGACCTAGCGAAATCACCTGAGTGAGATGCCAAAAAGGTGCTGGAGACTCCCGCATTTAATGGGCTTTCAAAGTAACCGTAACCCTGAACTCACGTTTGATGCAGCAGTTAGAATTTCAAATACACATAAAATAAAAATATAATTATTAAAAAGCAAACATGCTCAGGTGTTCCCTACAGTTATCTCAAATATCATCAATGGTTCCTGCAACATACTTTCGGAATCAGTTATTTTAAATAAATCAGATTACCTTTACACCATAGAATACCAAAAGGACATTAACTTATGTGGATTTTATTTATCTGTGCACATGCAAACTCAAACACAAACACACAGAGGTTGGAAATGCATATATTAATACTAAAATGGTAACAATACTAATTTTTTAATAGTGGACTAATAGATTTATTTGCTTCTTTGTGCTTTTCAAGTTGTTTTCAGTGAATATATACATTTGTCCCGCCATATCCATGAGGGATTAGTTCCAGGGTCCTTTCTGGATACCACAATTTATGGACGCTCCAGACCTTTATATAAAATGGTGTAGTATTTGCATATAGCCTACACACACCGTCTGGTACACTTTAAATCATCTCTAGATTACTGATAATACTGAATACAATGCAAATGCTATGACAATAATTGTTTTTCTGCCTTGTTTAGGAAATAATGACAAGAAAAAAAAAGGTCTGTGCATGTTTAGGACAGAGGTAACCATCCTCCCCTGACCCGCCCAATATTTTTGATCCACAGTTGGTTTAATGCGATGTGGAACTCACAGATACCAGGGCTGACTGTACTTTGCTTCTAAAAAAAATTCAAGTTTCTTACGTGTTTTTTTTTTTTTTTAATACACATGCAGACCTTGCTCAAATCAAGTTTTGTTTCCGGTTTGATCTGATGGCAAGGCTTTTAACTAAATATCCAGAAGGAGAGAAAGGGACTGAGCTAGGAGCCTACAAGGTAGGAGTGAGGAGCTATGGTCAGAAACTAGAAACTGAATCCCAGATAGCAGTGACAGAGACAGCATATATATTCCCAAAAAGTGGATGGCTTATCACATGCAAAAACTCAAGATCCAGACAGTATAAGATAGACAGCGAATGTGAGACGCTCTTGAACCAGCCATGACCCAGCTCTGGGTCACTCTGTAGACCAGGGGCCAGCTCTCCACTGAGACTTCACTGCTTTGTGGTAAGCAAGTCTTCCTGACACAAGCCAATACTATGACACCATGTATTTATAAACTACTCAAATGCTTCCAAGTAAACGTCACTTAAAACAGGTAAAATAAACATTCCTATGCATACGCCAAGCTCAAGAGGAGTAGGAGCAAGTTCAATAAAAATCAGAGGGGGCTCTAAAAGAAACTAATCATGCTTCTGCTCTCTGTTCTAATAGTGTATTCCTCATAGGTAACTGGGATTAAGTGGAGGTTTTAGGTCAAACCATTTAGTTCTTGATGTTTTAATACTCACTGGCAAAAGATGATAAATGTAGATAGTAACTGAAATGAGACTAAACTCTAAAAGTACTCTAGGCCAGGCATGGTGGCTCCGTCTGTAATCTCAGCACTTTGGGAGGCTGAAACAGGAGAATCACTTGAGCCCAGGAGTTCCAAACCAGCCTGGGCAAGATGACAAGACCCCGTCCCTATATATTTAATTAAAATTTAAACATATTTAAAAAAATAAAAGCACTAGTCATCTCTGAGATGTTCAAGTAATTCTCCACTTGAATTAAGAACAAGGATGGCTGTTCACTAATCTCAATCAGACCCATGATTTGTTTGATCTTGAAGATGCCAGTTGTCTATCAGGCAGATGGCTAGTAGGTAAGGGGAGAGTCACTCTGGGATGAAATGATAGAGGACTGTTGTAAATACCTGTCGTGTACAGACACAGCTCCCTAATTTCTCTACTAAAGAACATAATTATGAAAGGTTTTAAGTTATCTCATTGATCAAATGAATCATATGGCTTAACTCATTAATAATTTGTGAAATCATATAATGCCATCTGACACAGCTCATACTGTATTCACCTTACAACCCTGAGTGGGACTTTTAATTTCTAAAACAATATTCTGCCAATGACAGTAGCGCTTCAGTTCTGATTTCATGTAGAGCGATGGCTTTATGTGATCAAGAAACATTAAGTACGAAAAATTACCTAAAGGTCAGCAATGCCTCACCATGCTTGGAAAGTGAACAAAACGGGTTTCCATGAAAGGAAATCGTCTGACCCTCCTTTGTGTCTTCTGCTTTACAAAAGCATTTCTGCGCTTCATAAATGTAAATATTATTCAGTAAATGTATCCTGTCCTCTTTAAAAATAAATAAATGAAGTTGGGGCAACTGAGTATGTGCAAACCAAAGTTCTGTTTTTAAAAATAATGTTCCGGCTGAGCGTGGTGGCTCATGCCTGTAATCCCAGCACTTTGGGAGGCCGAGGCGGGCGGATCATGAGGTCAGGAGCTCAAGACCATCCTGGTTCACATGGTGAAACCCCATCTCTACTAAAAATACAAAAAATTAGCCGGGCGTGGTGGCGGGCACCTGTAGTCCCAGCTACTTCGGGAGGCTGAGGCAGGAGAATGGCGTGAACCCGGGAGGCAGAGCTTGCAGTGAGCCGCGACAGCGCCACTGCACTCCAGCCTGGGTGACAGAGCGAGACTCCGTCTCAAATAATAATAATAATAATAATAATAATAATAATAATAATAATAATAATGTTCAAGAAAAAAGTAAGACTTCAGTGGCTCACAAGCTAGTAAACTGCATTTCAAAAGGTTTTGCCACTAGGTCTTATTTGTTTCTCAATCATCTTAATTGGTCTCTGAATATCCTATAGATGAAAAGCCTGAGGAAAAGGCTTATCATACAAATGGGATGACAGACAACTCAAAACCAACTTTAAAACAAGCAGAAGGGAGAGGCCTTTAAAAAGGGAACTAAAGCTCCAACACTACTTCCTGCACTGAGCTCTCTCCCAAACAGCCAGGCTGCTTGCAGCTCATCTTACCCAGAAGAGCCGCAATTGCTTCCCAGGATCCTAACTTGAGCACAGACATACCATTTACAAGTGTAAATGTGGTGAGTTCATCAGTTTCTGGCATTACCAATACAGAGCATGGACAGAAGAGACATTTCAAGTCCAAATTTTCTCCATCGAACTTTTAGACACAAACTCAGCTGAATGTTTCTATGTTTTTATAGGAAAATATTTTCTTAAGCATGAAACAGGATAAACACCAAAAACAGTGGGGCCAAGTTTGCCTTGTAAAAGATCTATTGTCCAAAGGTGAATTTCCCTGGCATCTCTTGCGACATGAGAACACCTCCCATTTGCTTTTCCTCCCACAACTCCTCAGCTCTTTAAAGGTGGAGTCTGTTTGCTGCAGCAAAGCCAAGGGGAATGATGGTTCCGGGCAGTCACAGAGGCGGCCTACTTTAAGGAGAAACACTTCTGCAAATGTAAGCAGGAACCAGGTTTACTCACCCAGAGAAAAACACGTTTCCTCAGAAGGTTTTGCAGCTCCAGTAGTTATAGAACACACCACTCACCACCAGCATCACCACTGTAAGTCAACTCCACGTGGAACTCAAGTAAGATCAGAGTTCTCCTCCAAGTATCTTACTCATCACGCAAAGCAACACTTGGGCTTGGCTATAACTCTCCCATGACACAGGGATGACACAAATTAGCTCCACACTGTGTCTTCCCTGCCTCCCACACAGTCGATGGCAGTGGACTGACAAATGTGGTAGTTACTTAGCAATACTTTGTGGTTATCTCACCCACATCATTCACAGAGACAGACAGTGCCACCCTTCCATAAAAACTTCTCCCCTCCCACAAACTGTTGAATTCTACATAATAACTTACATTATTACATGGAGGAACAAAATACTGGCTTGTGCTTAGTAGAAAGTAGTCATTCCATGGACCTTTAAGAATCCTAATGCTGATCCTGTTGTTCTCTAGGTCTTGAGCAAAATCACTCCACAGTAAATCAAAGGAATGTGAATGCCAAGTGAATAAAGCCAGAAGAGTTTAATGAGAACTACCACCCACCTGCAAATGTCCCCCCCACATCATTCTCAGCAGCTAAGCCTCAAACCCTCAATCACTCTGAGTAATAGGTGGGGAAGTTGTGTGGGGTGCATTAAACCAAAATGTCTCAAACACTTGTGATGAACATGTTGGCCTCCCAAAGATGACCTGAAGGGGGTTGGTAGGGTTGGTACAGACATTCTGCTGTCCTTAAATGAACCCTAGTTGGTCTACTCAAGCTGAGAAAAACATTTCAGTGGGATCTATCATGAGCTTTCATTTGTCCCCACTGTCATTCAAAGCATTCAGACAAAAACGATAGTTAGTGTGTACTAAGCACTTCCGATATTCCAGGTTGGTCTAAGACGTTTACAGGCATTAACACATTTAATCTTCACAACAATCCTGCGAAGTAGGTATTATTAGTATGTCCACCTGGCAGATGAGGAAAACAAAGCACAGGTGCTAGGTTTCCCATAACACGGCAGGCCAGTGGCAGAGCTGGAATGTGTATCCAGGCAGTCTGACTTTAGAGACCACACCCTGAACTACAGCTTATCCTGCCTCTCTGGGAGAGGTCTGTCAGGCCAGTGTGGGACAGCAGATTCACAGACAGCAGTCAGATTGGAGAGGCACATGATGATAATATTCTGGAATACAGAATATATAAAGGGAATTCTAGTTCCAATTTCACTATTAACGGTGTGACATTGGGCAAGTTGTCTTACTTCCTCGAGATCAGTACATTCATCTGGGTGTGTGTGTGTCTCGAGATAGATGAATGCACCTTGCCCCTCTAAAATTCTACTACAGTCTACTACACTTGGTAAGGTTATTAGAATATCATGCTCTATTTTAAAAGTACTAAAACAAGAACCTAAGTAGAGGATAGAAAGCAGAAGAAAGTCCCATGATTTCAGTTGGGTAAAAATCAAGTTTACAACCCAAACCACCTACTAAGCCTGCTGCCAGCATTGACAACTCAGGCCTAAGGCAGCTAGGTAGTAACCACACTAATTGGATGGCTTAGCAGACTGCTGTGTTTGTTATGGCTGGCTAGTGTGTATGCCAATATTCATGCATGCTCAGGCACTGCGTGGAAAAAAAGTCTGTTGTGTATTCTCAGCGAGGGCAGCCCACTAAAACACAGCACCTTGGGAGTGCTGGGGAGGCCCAGAGAGTGGAGCTCAGCAGCTCCCATTCAGGCTCTCAACAAAGCAGCTCTACTTTCAAACAGCTGATAAAACTTAAAGTTCTTAGTAAATCTTTATTTTTAAGAGTGTCTGCTATTTAAACACACACACACACACACACACACACACACACTGAATTTAAACACTCACTAGCATGGAGAGAGCAGACGGGGCTCTCTAGGTCTCATGTGGAAGAGCAGGCATTGTTTGAAGTGGGTAAGAGGCAGGACACTGGTGAATGTGTGGGCTTCTCTGGTCTGTGCCCAGCTAGTATCAACCAGTCATGCCTAGGCGACTCAAGTATAATGAAGATAGCCAAAATTCTTTGAGTTTTCAAGAGACCTCCATCTGGCGCTAACATGAATGAACCATCTTCAGGAAGTCTCTGAAAGACAGGCATAGAAAGATTCTTCTACACCATTCCACCTGGGGGAGAAGCCCTAAACACATGAGGATGACAAAATGAATCTAAACACATTAGCTAGTAAAGAGACCCTAATCCCTTCATTAAAGACTTTAAAAAAAACTAGACTTTTGATATAAAACCTACTCTATTTCTAAACAATACTTCAGACCAGTGGAGAGGTAGGGAAGGAAGAGCTGCCAGAAACCCTGCCCACGTGTCACAGGAGCAGAAAGGCAGTGGATGGCTCTCCTCTGCTGTTTCCAAGGCCAAAAACCCAGTAAGACCTCACCATCTTCCCATGTTAACCAGGATTTCCAAAGTCTTGGAATACCAAGAAGCAAAAAGTACCTACTGCTGGGTCCATAATGAGCCTGGCATCTGCTGACAGAGGATTACACCAACTAGCATTTGGCCCACAGCCAGAGCAGCTTAGACCAAAGCCACAGCTACTCTATGCGACATCACTATGTGAATTCCCATAAACCCAAGGCAGCTGAAGACTGCACAGTTCCAAAGTCTACATGGCATTTTATAACCCTTTTGCGCTGTAGAGACTACTTAGAAGTAGGACATAAAAATGCTCTCATAAGGGATTTACATGGGAAAAACAATTTTGGTTCTCTTTGAGAGCAATCTGGATAATTTAAGATAAATAGCTCTCACAAAATTGTATGGCTTTGGCCGGGCGCGGTGGCTCACGCCTGTAATCCCAGCACTCGGGGAGTCCGAGGCGGGCGGATCACAAGGTCAGGAGATCGAGACCATCCTGGCTAACACGGTGAAACCCCGTGTCTACTAAAAATACAAAAAATTAGCCGGGCGTGGTGGGAGGCACCTGTAGTCCCAGCTACTCGGGAGGCTGAGGCAGGAGAATGGCGTGAACCCGGGATGCGGAGTTTGCAGTGAGCCGAGATAGCGCCACCGCACTCCAGCCTGGGCGACAAAGCGAGACTCCGTCTAAAAAAAAAAAAATTGTATGGCTTTACTAGTATACAGACTATTAATATTCAGTGAAGAAGAGCTCTTCAGCAAAGGTTTTAGACAAACATCTATCAGGGATGAATGCACTGATTAAATGAAGCCTCATGCAATGTTAAGGTACAGAAGAAGCCTTCCTCAGAAGTTCCCTCTTGCCAGAACACATGGAACCAGGCATGGACTTTCCTTGAGCAAAAACCCATACATTTTCATATCATTCTTTTATAAAGATAAATTCATTTTCCATGTTATTTTTTCCACAGTCAATATGCCACTCAAAAAGGCTGCCTTTGCTATAGCTGTTAATAAAAACATAAAACCATCAGTAGTATTAGAGGAACCCAGTAGCAAGAGTTATTGCTCTCTTTGGGAGGCCGAGACGGGCGGATCACGAGGTCAGGCGATCGAGACCATCCTGGCTACCACGGTGAAACCCCATCTCTACTAAAAATACAAAAAAATTAGCCAGGTGCGGTGGCAGGCGCCTGTAGTCCCAGCTATTCGGGAGGCTGAGGCAGGAGAATGGCGTGAACCCGGGAGGCGGAGCTTGCAGTGAGCCGAGATCGCACGAGACTCCGTCTCAAAAAAAAAAAAAAAGAGTTATTGCTCTAGGTAGACAAGTTGCAGCATGAGGAATTAGAATCACCATACCTAAACATCTGAGCAAAATTCAAAGAATATTTTAATTTCTCCATTTTCTTCCCTTTCCCTTCATATAACGAAGTAATATAAGAGGTATTAGGAAAACCCCTCCTCCATGGAAAGATACTTCAGAGCACTCTGTATTCTGGGTTTATAATGCGTTCTCCTCTTCTAATAACAGCTTTGAGATACAATTTCAGTCCTCACCTAACACCCCTGACCCAAGGGCATCAAAAACGGTACAAAGAATAGAGAAGTAGAGAAGTAATGAGTGTGCCATACTGTTATTTGTTGCTAATCTGGGCTTTGTGATTAAGGGAACTAATATCAAAAGCATGGTAAAATAGAGGTATATTCCAGTACTGATGATGGTGGTGATGGTGATGAATGACAGTTGACAATATTTATTGTGCACTTACTGGTTCCAGGTACCATGTCAAGCACTTCACAAGCATTATCTCAATTGATCCTGACAATATCTCCAGGAAGTAGGTCTTCTATAACCACTTTATAAGATAGACTATTTTTTTTTTTTTTTTTTTACCCAAGGCAATACTGTCAGGAAATGGGCAAGCTGGGCTATGAAGACAAATATCCTGATTTAAAAAAACAAGGTTAACCCTACACAAGGTTCTGTCCATTGGGTTTTGAGTTCTGGTCCCACAAGACAGATGTCCAGCAGCTGGCTCTATGGGGTTCCAAATTTTAACATAATTATGGGAAGACTCCCATCAATACCCTTTAACTCATAAATTACCTATAATTATCTAAGAGCTGTATCTCCCCAGGATTAAAAACTCCAAGAGTTCTGATAATTAGTCTTCAAATACGAAGGTACCATGGAAAGAAAGAAAATAAAGTTCCCCTTCTCCCTTGGGTCCCCTGAGAATTCTAAAGATGGTGAAATTTTTTACAAATTGATCTTTTCCCTGTTGTATTTCATTAATATATAAATAATTTAAGATAGACACTTATACCTTCCATCAGAAACTTTAAAACTCTAATAATGAGTCCTAGGAGATCTAACACCTTTCCTCTTTTTAGTTCAAGGTCTTACATGGAAACAACTTAAAGTAGACTTTATCTTGACTAAACATGATCCCCCTCTTGTCTACTATATTTATAGCTCTTATTGTTCTCTACCCTTGAGCCCAAACCACATTAAGATTGAATCACTTCTACTGAAAACACACTGATGCTAAAAAAGAAAAAAAAATCAGACTAGAACATACTGGATTTGTTTTCATTTCCAACCACAACCCCTACTCCACATTAAATAGGATGGATTGCTTTCTCAGGGAAAAATAAGATTATTAGAAAAGTTAGTTAGAAGCACAAAAACCAATGTGTAAGAGAGACTGTTCACTTAGCAGGGCTCCTCTGCTATGGAAGATTTTAACCAAGAGAAGAATCGTACAGCCAAATTCCAGAATAAGCTACTCTGCATAGCATTTACTTTGGGTATAAAGAAAATGACATCACTACAGCGCTGGGATCCGAAACAAGTGTTTCATACAAAGCTGGTTACAATGATCAGTTCATTCCAAATTGGTGGGAAAGGCTTTGCACTAAAATCTGGGAATGTACAGCCATGGATGGCTCAAAGCACGTCATGGGAGTTCAAACTGGCCTAGATTTTCTAAAATCTTGTTATGTAAAGGGGATAAAATTTTAACTTGAGGATAAGTATATTCTAAAGGAAAAACATGAGGTAAAAATATGGTATCTTGTCTATTAGAATATTGCTTTGAAAGTAAAAAGAATATTTCATTACTACCATTCTGATTTGAGATTCTGTTACTCCAAGAAGCTGGCAGCATAAATTATAGGTAATTTATGAGTTAAAGGGTATTGATCATAGATATGACTTTGAAGAGGATGGCGAGAGGAACGGCTGTCATCTCAGTAGTGAGCTGAAGAAACCCTGCGTCTCCTGGAGTGGATGGGGTCCCCTAGGCCTTTGGCGGCTGCACTGTCCCACTCACATGGTCCTGTCTGCATTCTCAGACTTACTGACATAAGCAGGGTGGCAACTCCCTCATCAGTCCTTCACTCGTCACTTCCAGGTGCATAGCACGGCATTCGGAAGACAGGTGCGTCCACACTGAGAGTGCTCTGGGGCGGCCCCCACCAACACTGTGGGCAGTGTCAGCCACACCCATGAGGGCCGCTGGACCTCTTTCACTCCCTCTTCTCCCTCCCTGCTGCTGACAGCAGGAGTTTCACAGGCCTACTGCAGCATCAATTAGAAATAGCAGAAGAGGGTGGGTGTGGTGGCTCGCACCTGTAATCCCAACACTTTGAGAGGGCAAAGCAGGAGGATCATTTGAGGCCGGTCGTTGGAGACCAGCCAGAACAACATAGCAAGACCCCACCTCTACAAAAAAAATTAAAATAAATGGCGGAAGAAGGGAACTCAAACTGGTCACTTAGTCTCAGGATTTTATGGGAAAGAATACTGAAGTTACTGTTTGGAAGAAAATAAACACATCTAAATGAAATCCTTTATATTTCTTGACCAATAGCATGAATAATTAAATGCATTTGTAATAATCTCCACTCAATACTGTTCGCCTAAATCAATGGTATGAGCCTAGCGAAAGCATTCCACTCTCTGGGAGTGACTAGACTGGTATTCTTTGTAGAGATGGGATGTATATTAAATGCTTATCAATTTGACTATAAAGTTACCCTGTGGAAGCAAAAGAAAGAGAGATAGAAGAAAGATTTGCAGATTCCCTCATGATCAAAAAACATTCTTAATAAGCCATTTAACGCATGTGTTTGACCGTATCAGTAGCAATACAAATGTTTTGATTGTGATATCATTACCAAGAAGGCAAAGGTAAATATTTCTCTAGAGAAACAGTGATATTCCCTGCTAAACCTCACTCCAAGGCTCAAGGGCACAAGTAGGCCCTTCAACCTGAATGCCAACATTTAACAGAGGCTGTGGGGCTACGAATGTCCTTGAGGCTTTTGAAGAAAAATCAGATGAACAGAAACGTAGGGGGCGGAAACTAACGATAGAACAGTTTCTACCACGCCCTGCAGGGAAACATGTTCCTTGTGAAGGTACAGGGGTTCGAAGGTTCTACTGCTACTCCTGGGGAAACTCACACCAGGAAGCCATGAATGTCTCTGGGAGGTTGTATTCCTGGCAGAGAGGGTCACGGACTGCTGACAAATGATCAACAAATGCCAACAAATCAGTACACTGACCAAAAGTAACAATCAACTTTCAAACATCTTGTGGTAACCTGGACTTAGTGCTGTGCAGAAATTAAAAGACGGCCTCTGCCTGGATAGAAGTTGCAGGATGCACGGGAGGCGCCGGCAAAACCGACTGGTCTCAACTCCCTTTGCCCTCACTTGCCACATCTCTCTAGGGGTCTTGCTCATGAAGAGGGAAATTACAGATTATGGCAGGTTGGTGCTGGAAAAAACCCTAAATTGTTTGGCTTGGCCCAACAACCTCATTTTAAAGATGAGGTCAGCTCAGAAACGGGTAGGTGACACAGCCAAAGACAGAGCTCATGTGAAGTACCAGGAAAACCCCAGGCCCCACCCTGCCAATCCCATGCTCCCTTAACTCTAAAGGGAGAAAAATTCGCCTCAATTTGTGCCTACAATACCCATGTCCTGGATAAGCAAGAGTCAAGAAATTCCCGATTTGGCCTCGACACTGCCTTTCACCTCTTACATGCTGGTTTCACTTCCGCTGCTGAGGCGCACACTTCTGCTTTCATGCGAGAAACCAGGCCCCTCTGAAAAGGGATGGAGAAGAGGCACCATCAACCAGTCACTTGAGCCAAGGAAAAGAGACTGCAGTATGATCTCCTACTGTCCTGGTGCTTCCCTTCCTGGAAAAGGTGCAATTGGGGTTTCAAAGTAAATATCTCCCATCAGTCAACTCAGAGTGAAGATAACCAGTGGATGTTACTTCCATGAAAGAACAATGCAAAACGTCAAGCTGTGTAGGCAGCCCAGGAAGACTGCAAACCAGCCAAAAGCACTCTCTCCCTCCCTCCCCTTGCTCTGCCTTAATCACTGGGCAAGCTATGCACACTGTTGCTACTTTTTTGGTATATTCTACCTGCTCCAATCCCAGTATCCTCGTTGTTTTCAATTTGTTTTGAATAAACGATCCTAACTGGTCACAAATAACTAATCTAAGGAGCCAGAATTAGTATGATTTCGTACCGTCAAGTAATGAGTTTTCAGAGGTGGAATACACCATGTGAATTATTTAACCAAATCTAATTTTTCAGATAAGTAAAAGAAAGCTTCAGAGAGAGATGAAGAACTTAGATATAAACAGAGCTGGGGCCAGAGCCAAAGTCTCCTGACTCCCAGCACAATGCTTTTCTGGTGACCCTCTGTGGCACCCGCAAACACAAGGCTACCCTGGGATCAGAGTCACGCTGGCCTTGGATGTGCAATGGCCATAGCAGCATAACAACTTAAAGTCCTCCTCCATGAATGGCTAGTGAGAATCAGCAAGATAGGATGTGGGCTGCAGAAACAATCGGGGAGACATGAGCCTGGTTAAATATTCAGGGAAGAAAAAGACCCATGACAACTCAAAGAATGTTGAAGATAAAGCAGACTGCAAAGGCAGGGAAGAGAAAGAAAAGAGGGGAAGGAACACGTGTCATCAAGAAAGCAGGTGAAAAGAACAGCATCAGAACACAAAAAGGCTAGCTACTGATCACAAGATACACAAGCTTTCGAGAGTTAAAAAAAAAAATCCCTAAATCCTGTTACTTCCTTTACAGTGAAGTAACTTTCTCTAAAAGAAGGCATTCACTGTTTAACCATGTTGGTGTACAGTTACATCAGACAGTCTTCAGATGTGTTTTCCTAAAACTGAACGCAACACAACATAAATATGACTTCTACCCCAGCCAACAAAACATGGATTTTGATACTGAATACATACTGCGTAGGGCAACCCCACCCTTGGCCTGCAACCTAGCATCTGCAGATGGATCTCTTAGCCTCTTGCCAGAGCTGGTCCCCTGGTTGCATGGCCCTGAGACCTCCCAAGAAGAACTGGGTGCCACAGGAAGAGATACTGCTGACTCAGGAAATGGCCACCTCCCATGGAGAGGCAGCCAAGCCAGGCATGCAACTGAGAAGCAGCTTGTAGCAGTGGTGATTAAGTTTTAAACGCTTAATAAGACTGCGGCTCAAATCTAAGTGCTGTATGTTCTCTCTCATGTAGGGGTGCTTCTAGAAATATTCTTGTATGTATGTGTAGTGGTGGGTGCCTATTTTTGTTGTTACTAAAAATGTTTTTCTCCTTTAAAGAAAGAAATTACTATCAAAACACTGGCTTGTTGCTCACAGAGGAGTCCCAGAATGACCAGTAAACTCACCCTAGGTTGGGGCGGAATGCAGAGACGGTGGGGATTATGGTCTAGGTTGTTTATTGTCATACAAAAATGTGGCAACTGCCATTCTTTGGCTACATTTCAAGCGGATACTTCTTGGTTCCCTCATGTTTAAGCTTTTAAGAAATGCTCAGCTATGCAATTTCCACAAAGTCAATCAATGATGAATTCAAAGCTGTAATGCAAGATGAGACAGATTTGCTTCCAAAGGTCAAGATGTCAGAAAATCCAAGGCCAAAATCACCTTAGATCACCCTTAGGTTTATCTTCTACACCTGTTGGCCATATCGCTGCCTCCAGTCCCGAAGCAGCATTTATACACCTGGCAACTAAATAGGTATTCATCTACTTGTTAGAAAACTTATGCAAGGTAAAGGGATTTAGTAAAAAGTGCCAAGTCCTAAATCAACAGAATTTCCACTTACATTGCAAATGAAAGGGTCTAAAACAGAGAATTCCAATCACAGACAATTACTCATTCATTGATCTTCCCACACCATCTATCATTTCTATATGATGAAACTTCGGCTCACTTCTTGGTGCCTGTCTAACCCTCTAGATTATTACAGTACTATTTTTGGCCATGCACTATGCATCAGACACCTCAACTGCCTTCTCTTCAGTCGCTCATATCAGCCGAGATGTAAACTACGGCTGAATGGTCCGCTATTTTTATGCTAACAGCACTTCAATATTTTTCATCTGCCTCTTCTTACATGTTGGCCGAGGTCTATACTAGGTATCATTTACATTTCTAGAAACCTGAAATATCGGCATTATCCTCCTACTCACAACTATGGCAACAGCATTCATAGGCTACATGCTCCCATGAGGCCAGATATCATTCGGAGGCGCTACAGTAATTACAAATCTACTATCAGCCATGCCATCTATTGGAAGTGACCTTCTGCAATGAATCTCTGAGGTGGATTCTTTCCTCTTACTGACTGACCTTGTCTTTTGAAACTATGACTTCCCTCATGTCTAAGGTAAACTTTTCTCCTTATATCTAAGGTAAACTGTTTCAACCAGAAGCACATCTTCCATGGGTCTCCAACCCTTGGTCCAATCGATGAGTTCCCCAAGGGACTTGCTAGATGCACAAGTTCTAGCAGCCAGTGACTGTTTCCCACCACTAGAGCTATTAATGAGCCTTCTGGTTAATCAGCTGCAGAGACAGATTTAACTCTTCTTGTTTATCTTTTCAGCAGCAAAATACTGAAGAAATACAAATGTTATCCTATTACTGTCATCTAGGAATTCAGTCTTGCCATGGGAAAGCTAGACTAAAATGTCCACACAGGATAGATGTACTTCTCTGTTCAACAACATACAGATAATAAAGAGCTTGAGAAAACCAGGATGGATGAAAAGCATTGAAAACCAGAACCACAGCAATGCAAACATCTCCCACATAGCCTGGCAAAGGCCCCTCCCCTGTCCCAAAGGGATTGTTGCCTCACGCTGAAAGATATTCATTCTCCATGTCTTCTCATGGTGGCATCTCTATTTCAGCCACCAGCTGTCATGACATCCTTTCTCCCTGGCTCCTTTCAGGTACTCACAGCTCCTATAACAATGGATCTGAGACCCAGAAGCCCTGATCAAAGATGATCAGCTGTGGATGATTACAAAACAAAGCGATGTCAAGATCAGCAGATTATAGGCAAGACAATTTGATACTCATCCTTAACACCCTGTCACCCTTAAGAGATTTTCATTCATTTAGTTCTCAGAAGTCAACATGGCATCTCAGCTAGAAGTTCAGCCTCATTACTCACTTGTCCTATGTTTTCTAAGACAATTGTCGTAAGTTATTTAAAAGGAGGCAAAAATTGCCCAGTAAGACGGTGAATACAGCAAGGTAAAGGAGAAGTAGAAAAGGAAAGATAGTCACTATCTCTCCTCCCCATGCACAAAAAGGTCTTGTAGCTCAACCCCCTCTGCAGATGGGCAAACTGAGGGGTCATGAGAGGACGCGACTCTTCCCAAGTCTCACCATCAATAGCAGAGTTGGACCAACAGAGGTTCCCCTGCTAAAAAGCAGGGCCTCAATAAAGGACCAGCTGAATCAACAAAAGGGAGTGGCTTCCTTAAGAACATGCTGGGCACAGAAACTCTATTGCCCCCCCTCCCTTCTGAATACAGGTTCTTATGCATACCAGGAGCATTCAAGAACAGAGGGGACAAAAGATCTCCACAAAAGCGAGACAAAGTGCAAGGACACCAGAACACCAGACAGCTACAACTGTTCCTTGGCCTGCGAAGCATCAACAGTTCAGTCTATCTCAACAGGTAAGAGGAATAAGCCACTGTCCTTTGAACATCCAATAAGATAAACAAACCAAAAAATCCACAGAGCACTCTGCAGTCCATCTAGCACTTTCCCATAGTTATTTTGTTTCATCCTCACAATAGTCCCATCTTGCAAGTAAAGAAACTGAGGACCAAGGAAGTCTTACCCAAAGTCATAGCTGGTAAACAACAAGGCCGGAAGTTGAGCCTACATCTTCCAACTCCATATTCAGCACCTTCTACTCTACCTCCACCCAAAGATATTCATGACAAAAAGCCAAATATAACAATAGACCAAAGGGCCAACTGAACCACAGCCTCCGGCCAGCTAAACAATGACTAAAATCCCAGCTGGAACCCAAAGCAGGCTCTGTCTCCTCAGGACTTCAGGACAGGATTCCAGAGTGGATTCAGACCAGCCCTCTGCTACGAGGCAAGCTCTTCGCTCTCCTACAGGAACTCTGGGTTAATCACATGTCCCACAGCAGCATGGCTGGAGCTAGACCTGTCAAGCACATTCGGCTCTTGGTGACACAACCCAGCTGTGCAGGCGGTTCCCATCAAGGGAGCTCCAGACATTCCAGACACTGTGCCACGGAATTGCAGGGAGGGACCGAGCTGCACAGGGAGCTGGCAAGCCCGACAGAACTTTCCCTACCACATCTGTACTTCTGCAACAACAAGGCAGTTTCAAATCAGCTCCCAAAGAGCTACACAGATTCTGCCTTGTGAGGATAGACTAGAAACTGACAGTGGAGATTCCTTCTGGAGAGTGGGACCAATGGAACTTTTACCGTTGGCATTGTATTCCTTTCATAATATCTTTGAAAACTAGATCAAAATTCAATCTAAAACCCATAAGGATGACAGTCTACACTGGAAAGTGGTGAAGGCAAAAAGAAACTGACATCAGGTGACGTAAACTAATCACACAACAGTTTTAAACAAGAGCTTTAGAAACACTGAATTAAATGTAAGACCTTTATAAAGTATAACAAGATTCTTATTTACAAATTTTACAAAAATTTCCCTTGACTGTTAACAGAAGAAATTGAGCCATTTTTGAGGCAGGAAAAAAAAAAGTCTTTAGTACTTAATTCTTTTAGGCATTTTCACATACTTTATCTCATTTAATCTCAATAACCATGGAATAAAAATATTATCTACAAGTGATAGACCAGGAAACTCAGACCAGGCACTCAGAGAAGCTAAGCAGCTTTCACACAGCTGCACAGCTACCAACTCCTCGAGTGTAAAGACAGAAAGGGACAATCTAGGAATACAGACAAGTCCTAAAAAAGCTGCCACCACTGCTGGGCAAAGGCAACCTGCACCTATGAAAGAACCCAGACACAATGGCCAGTTTCTGACAGTCCTTTCTTGAGTGGGTCACATGCTGCCTATGGGGTACATGTGTACACAATGCTGCTCCCCATATTTATGAAACTGACATGCCCTCCACACTACATGAGCACACAGATGTTTTCACAAAGTGCTGATGGACCTGCGGTAATCTACCCATTTTCCTCTCCCAGCCCCCGTTGCCACTGAAGGCTGCATTTGAGAGATGCCCAACTGACTGAGACGAGAACAGAGGTGCTACCCTGGAACCTGGCCACAAGGAAGCCCTGATGTGTTTACAGTGTGAGCTTGCCCACAACTTCAAATTCATCACCATCATGCTCTAACATCGAAGTCCTCACGTGCCTCACATAAGGAAGCACAATTTAAACGTCATAATAGCCAATGATCATTAATGTTTACTGAGCTCTTTTAGAGCAGAAGGAACTATGGTAATTGCTTCCCATGCACTACACACTAGTTAATCCTCACAGCCACCACCCCTCATGTTAGATACTATTATCATTCCTATTTCATACACGAAGAAGCTGAGCTTCAGAAGTGGTTAAGTAACTTGCTAGAGACCAAACTGTAAGGAGTAAAACTGAAGCCTATGGGCCTATGACTCCTAAGTCAGACTCAGAGCCACTCTGCTTATGTCTCTCATAAAATATATTTCATGGCCTTTTTCCCTCAAATATTCTCTTTGTCATTTCTTATTAAAGTTATGAAACAAAATGTCCAAACAGAAGAGGCAAAATTGTTATACTGATGGGCTAGCCAGACAAATGGCATTATAAAAATACTGGAAATAGGAACTTACAATCCATAGTCAAGGCAAGCAATGCCAATGTTACCAATGCATACCCACAAATACACCTGTTATAATCATTGACTACCCTGGAAGATCAAGCCCTGGAGTTCTTGCTGGGTTCTGGATGGTCAGGAATTATTCTTCAATCCCAGGCATCTTGAAAATGGACATAATATCAACGGACTAGGCTCAATTCCCCTTCTTTAGCATCGTTGACCTCACTTATCCCCTGCCTGTTGAACATCACAACAGAAACTTTCCCAGAAAGAAACCGTGAGGCTGAAATTCCCTCAGCTCCAGGGGGAAAAAAAAAACTCCCTATGCCCTTTTCATTAGATAACTGGTTAATCTTTGAAGTTTCAGTAAAACGTTGAATTCTAAGGTGAATCACCTTTCCATACTAACAGCACAGCCAACTTTCCCTTCAGAGCAGTGATATACCAAAATAAGAATGATAGCCTTGTGCAGTAGTCATTACGGACCCCACTACATGACTAAGCTCAAATTAGTGACCTTCCACAGCCTGGATGAAGTTTCACAAAGGGTAGCTGGAGTTCACATGCAGTCTAGGAACACCAAGCTATGTCTAAGCGCCTCAAAGAGCAGCACAACTCCACTAGGGAAAAATCTCATTTTGCCCAAACATTGTAGACCCTGTAATAAATATACTCTTCATTTGTCATCCTTATTTAGAAATTAACATATGATCATTTTCCTAAGTCTTTCCTAGGATCTCCTTACAATGCTTTTCATTTGAAATAATCTATTTTCAAATCCAAGGAAGTTTCTACAATTACAATTATACATAATCCAGCACTGCCTAGGACCAGACAAAGACAATACACCAATTTCCAGTTACCTTCGTCAGCAAACAGTCTGCCCATAATTTTGTCAGGAATTGAAGAGCATTCTCCCATTCCATCTGCTCAGCAAACTTTCATCTTCCGCAAGGGCTCTTTTAATGTACTTCTAAAGCTGCTTCTGTTGCAAGTACAAACTGCTACACACTGACTCCGCAGTGACATTCTCCCAGAATGCCACTGGATCCCTCAGGGGCTCAGGGATACGAACTTGAAAGAAGTTGAAGGAGGACGTCCCCCTCTTCCCAGCCTCCTCTCTCAACACAGCTTCCCTCCAAGAGACCTGCTTCAAAAGTCCAGACCCAATGAAGTCACTCATGACCTCACAAACCTCTAGTTTAACTCTTTAAGAGCCAGATGGCAAGCTGACAGCAGTCAGAAAAGGCAACTGTCTAAGCTTATTTGGAGTGGTTGCCGTTTAAGGGAAAGGAGACATTTGTCCAGCATCGTTCAAAACAAAGTAACTTTGCCACTGATTTGGTTTAATAGCACTAAAGTTTTTTGAACAACTATTTTATAGACTGCAATTTCCTACAGCACACACAGCCTGGTCCTAAAGAAATGACTGAAATAGACAACAAAATAGATTTAAGTCATTAATATTATACACAATTTAGCTCTGTTAAATTCACACTTGACTGAAATAGACAACAAAATAGATTTAAGTCATTAATATTATACACAATTTAGCTCTATTAAATTCACACTTAATCTCATGTAATTTGTGATTTTCTATTTTCATTTCTAGTTTTGTTTTTTCTGCTCGTGGATGTGAAAATATTTATTGTCCTGTTGGTTGTCCAAAGCCTGCTTCAGACACGTAAGTGGCCAGGCAACACACACAGCTGTCAGACACAGGCAACAACTGCCACAGAGGCATCCGAGAAACCAGGGACAGCAGGAGTTGAGATCCACTGGAAGCCGTGGCCGCCAGACCTAACCAATGGATGCCAGAGTGTGTGTCAGCCCTAACAGGGATAGGAGACCAGCCTCACTTCAGTTTCTTTTCCATGCTTTTCCTGGGGATCCTGCTATTTTTGTTGGGATACGGGGATTATGAGGACCTGGAGATTTAAAAGACTAAAAATTACTTTCTAAACAGAAGTGGATAAAAATTATACACTCGAAGAACATGTAATATGCCCTTTCAAGAATGTTCTGGTTTACCAGAAAATGATTATACTTACCATGCAGTAATTTTATTCCTAAATATATACCCAGACTAGAGAAGTTCTTCCATGTGTTCCCAAAAAGCCACATGAAGGTTCTGTGCACATCGCCATGCTGTTTGACATAATATGACAGTCAAAATGCCCATAAATAGAAAAATGAAAAAAATAGGTTATAGTATGTTCACATAATGAATACTATACAGCAATTAAACTGATCAAACTAGGGCTGAGTCAATAAGAATGAATTTCAAATACTGAGGAAAAAAGGGTAAAGACAGAAAGGGACAATCTAGAAATACAGGTATGTCCTCAAAAAGCAGCCACCACTGCCAGGCAAAGGCAACCTGCATGTATGAAAGAACTCAGACACAATGGCCAGTTTCACAAAAGGAAACAAGATAGCTTGTATATGAAGCTGAAAAGTGTGTGAAACACTGTCTAATGATTACAGATGCACATCTCTAAAGGAATGATAAACATCAGCAGCTCATGGTTACTTCACTACGTAGGGAAGGAAAGAGAGGAATGAGATCTGGGGGCATAAAGAGGAGAGGAGTTTGCAATTCATCTGAAATACTTTTATTTCCTAAGTGGGATGATGAGATCACAGGTGTTTATTATTGTCTACACTTTTTGGTATGCCTCAAATGTTACAGAAGCTTTAGAAAGCCAACTGCATAATGACTACAACCTCTTTGAGTGCAGCAACACCTGTTCAGTCTGGACAATTAACAGAACAGGGGGCAAAGAGGTTAACAATTCCCTTCACTCTCAAGTCCCCAAATCCAAGCAGCTGCTGCTCCTTCTGCCATAGTTCAGCTCCTTCTCTCTGGCATGTCACCCTGCTCCACGCCACCCACAACCCTTTACACATAGCCAACTCAGCCTTCACAGCCCACCTCAAAATGCAGCACCCCCACAAGGACCTCCGTGACATCCCACGATGCAAGTAACCCCCAACTCAGAACCATGAAGCCTGGCTCTCTGGGCTCTGCACTAGAGTTATTTCTGAAGTTATCTGATCTGCCTGTTTGGGAGACACCTTAGTATCTACTATAGAGCAGCTGCTCATTAAGTTCTTCATTCAACAAAAACTGAGTGCCCAGTATGTGCTGGCCACTATGCCAGGGGTTCTCTGAGTCCCAAAACGTAGAACTTGAGAAGACCACGGCCTAACAGAAGAGACAGGCCTGTAGCGAAGTATAACACTATTAATACTACGTGCTGAATCCTCAAATAGTTGCTAAGTGAATGCCAACTACGAATAATGAAATTTTAGGATTGCTTCGCAATAGTAACTATTCAATACATCTTATTTTCTCTATACTAAAGACTTTATAATATTACTCTTGACAAGAAAATGTCACCTTGTTTGCGTTGAGGTGGGGCTTCTAAATAGAGTAATTATAAAGACAATAAAAGAAACTATCATTAAACCTCCTCAGAGTCAAGGAATTGAAGGCTCTTAGAATTATTATTACAGAAAAACAACATCTCAAGTCAATTCGATTTTACCACAGTCCATTCATACTGGGTGACTTTGAAGAGGTTTTAAAGACATTTCAAGCATTTCAAGCACTGTTATTACTGATAATAGCCAACATTTATTGAGTACTCATTAAGTGCCAGTAAATGATTACTGATTATGTGCCAGTAAATGACTTAGACAGAGAATTGACTAAAATTTGAACCAAAGCACTCCGACTTAAGAACCCACACTCTTCGCCACCAACCATACGTTTCCTAAGCAGGAAAATCAATCAATCCCTGCTGATATAGTTTGGAGGGACTCCCTATCACCACCACACCTAAGACAACAGAAGAAATCATTTCCAGGTTCACAGCCAGGAGCACTCACTTTCCCAAACCTCTGTTAGGAGAATCCTCCCCTCCAAAAGCGGAGTTACCTTTAACAGGCCCACATCCCCCTGAGAACGGGGACTGGCTCAACTTTGTATTCTGCCTCTAAGCAACTTGCAGTAAACGCCTCTCAAAAGCAGCTTCCAGTAAACGCTTCCCAAACTTCAACGTGATCATGGATCACCTGGGAATGTGTTAAAATGCAAATTTTGCTCGAGCAGGTCCAGGGTGGTATCTGAGAGACACATTTCTAACCAGGTCCAGGTGATGTCTGTTAGTCTGAGGCCCACACCTGGGAGTAGCAAGGTGTTGAGAACCTAGGCTGCGCATCAGAATCACCGGGGAAGCTTTTAAAGCTATCCATGTCCAGGTGCCACTCTAACAAATAGAATCTCTGACGGTGAAGGCTGGAGATGAGAAGCTTACAGAGCTCCCTGTATGATTCTAATGAGCAATCAAGTTTGAGAACTACTGTGCTACAGCTTTACTACTCAAGCTTTGCTCCATGGACCACCGTTGTAGACCAGTGCTTTGCAAACTTCCACGTGAATGTAAACCACTTGGACCTCTTGGTAAAATGCAGATTCTAATGTAGTAGGTCAGGGTGGGGCTGAGGATTCTGCAATTCTAATAAGCTCCCAAGTGAATGCTGTTGGGTGGCAAGATGGTGAGTAAAAACATCAGAAAATCTCAGGAGTTCAGTGTGTGTGATTTTTAAGGCTTTCCTTTTGTAATTTTAGATTCAGAGACCAGTAGAATACCTGCAAATAGAGCGTCAGGCACAGGCATAAGAAACAGCATATGAGGTATGGGGATTACAAAATGGAAGCATTTATCTAACATTAGACAGGACAGAGATTAATATTAATCCTCATTAGCATTCATGAGAAACTTATTTACCTTCCCTTGCACCATGACCACTGTCTGTCTCAAGTACTAAAAATGAAGGCTCTGCTAACAGCTTGAGCCAATTCAATAGACAGACATACCTTGGATATATTGCTGGTTCAATTCCAGAATGCTGCAATAAAGCAAATATCACAATAGAGCAAGTGATACAAATTTCTGGATTTTCTGGTGCCTATAAGAGTTAGGTTTACGCTGTAGTTTCTCAGTGTGCAACGGTATTTTGTCTAAAAACAACAGTGTACATACTTTCCTTTAAAAACAAACTTTATTGCTAAAAAATGCTAATGATCATCTGAGTACTCAGCAAGTCCTAATCTTTTTGCTGATGGAAGGACTTGCCTCAATGTTGATGGCTGCTGACTGATCAGGGTGGTGGTTGCAGAAGGTTGCGGTGGCTGTGGCAACTTCTGAAAATAAGACAAAAATGAAGTTTGCTGCATCAATGGACTCTTCTTTTCACAAAATATTTCTCTGTAGCCTGTGAGGCTGCTTGATCATCTTTTACCCACCACAAAACTTTTTTTTTTCAAAGTTAAAGTCAATCCTCTCAAACCTTGCCACTGCTTTATTAAGTTTATGAAATATTCCAAATCCTTTGTAGTCATCTCAATGAGGTTCACAGCATTTTCATCAGCAGTAGACTTCATTTCAAGAAACCGCTTTCTTTATTCACCCATAAGAAGCAACTCCTCATTTATTAAAGTTTTATCATGACACTGTAGCAATTCAGTCACATCTTAAGGCTCCACTTCTCGTTCGCCTGCTATTTCCACCACATCTGCAGTTATTTAATCTACTGGAAGTTTCAAACCACTCAGCCACTCATGAAGGTTGGAATTAACATCTTCCAAATTCCTGTTCATGTTGATATCTTGACCTCCTCCTCCCACAAATCATAAATGTTCTTAATGGCATCTAGAATGGTGAATCCTTTCCAGAAGGTTTTCAACTGACTTTGCCCAGATCCATCAGAGGAATCACTATCTATAGTGACTACAGCTTTACACAATATATTCCTTCCAAAAAAGCTCAAAGTCAAAATTACTCCTCGATCCATGGTTTGCAGAATGGATATTGTGTTGGCGGGCATTAGAACTACATCAGTCTTCTTGTACATCTCCATCAGAGCTCCCGGGTGACCAGGCGTCTTGTCAATGAGTAGCAGTAGTATTTTCAAAGAAATCCTTTTTTTTTTTTTTTTTGCCTCTAAGCAGTAGGTCTTAATAGTGGGCTTAAAATAGTCAGTAAATCATGCTGTCAGCAGATGTGCTGTTATCTAGCCTTTGTAGTTCCATTCCTAGAGCACAGGCAGAGTAGATTTAAGGATAATTCTGAAGGGCCGTAGGATTTTGAGAAGGGAAAATGAGCACTAACTTCAATTTAGTGTCACTAGCTGCATTAGCTCCTACCAAGGGTCAGCTTGTCCTTTCAAGCTTTAAGAAAAGGCGATGCCTCGTACTCTCTAGCTAAGAAAGTCCTAGACAGCATCTTTTTCCAATAGATGGCTATTTGGTTTACAGTGAAAATGTGTTGTTTAGTGTAGCTAGCTTTATCAATTATCCCAGCTAGATCTTCTGGATAACTCACTGCAGCTTCTACATCAGCACTTGCTGCTTCGTCTAGTACTTTTATGTTACGGAGATAGCTTCTTTTCTTAAACCTCATAAACCACCCTCGGCTAGCTTCCAGCTTTTTGGCTGCAGCTCCCTCACCTGTCTCAGCTTTCAGAGAATTGAAGAGAGTTAGAGCCTTGCTCTGGCTTCGGCTTAAGGAAACGTTGTGGCTGATTTGATCTTCTATCCAGACCATTAAAACTTTCTCTATATCAGAAATAAGGTGTTTTCCTTATTATTCATGTGTTCTATGAAGTAGCACTTTTAATTTCCTTCAAGAACTTTTCATTGCATTCACAACTTGGCTGTTTGGTGCAAGAGGTCTAGCCTTCAGCGTATTCTGGCTTTCAACATGCCTTTCTCACCAAGTTTAATCCTTTCTAGAATTTTATTTAAAGTGAGAGACATGAGATTCTTCCTTTCATTTGAACATTTAGAGGCATTGCAGGGTTATTAACTGGCATAATCTCAATATTGTGTGTCTCAGGCAATAGGGAGGCCCGAGAAGAGGGAGAGAGAGGGGGAACAGCTGGTTTCATGGAGCAATCGGAACACACAAAACTTATTGATAAGGTTTGCCACGTTATATGGGCATGGTTTATGGGGCCCCAAAACAATGACAATAGTAACATCAAAGATCTGGGACCACAGGTCACCATAACAGATATAACAGTAATGAAAAAGTCTGAAATATTGAGATAATGACTAAAATGTGACACAGAGACAAAAAGTGAGCACCTGTTATTGGAAACATGGCACCAACAGACTTGTTTGAGGCAGGGTTACCACAAATCTGTAATTTGAATAAAAAAAAAAAACAGAGTATCTTCAAAGAGCAATAAAGCTAAGTGCAATAAAATGAGGTTTGCCTGTAGCTCTGTATTTCAGTTTACAGAGGGCTTATGAAGTGAAAAACAAGATTAAAGTACTGTAAACAAGACCCTTTTGAGTTCAGGCAAATTTGTATTCCTGTGTAAAACACCTTCAGAGAACAATTTACTCAAGAAAGTTGGTGTCTTTTTTCCTCCCCAAAACAAGGCTCAATGGATAACATCCAATGTTGCAAATATGGTGCTAAGAGACCTCTGCTAAGATGAATATCACTTCCTTTAAAAGTTAAATATTGTACTGATATATGAATAAAAATATTGCTGTATCATCTCGATCAATTAAAGTATTAACCACCATTCCATTTTTATTTAGATCTATGATTCTCCTTGTAATCACTTATACCTCCAATGTCTGTTATCATTTGATGCCATTCTTTGATCAAAGCTCATCCAAGTAACAGGCGCCGCACCATGCTCTTCACACCAGTAGCCACCAATATCCAGGGAATTACTTTGGTTTGTTTGTTTTAAGGTTTAAACCACAGAATTAGAATGTCTCCAGGAATAGCTATTTGAAATCCAGGACCATTTCCTGAAGTCATCACTAATTTATAAAAGAGGCACCAAACAGACAGGGAGGGCACAAGACCACCAGGGCAAGGGCTGTCTGAAGGGCACTGAAAGAACAACCAATGACCAGTGCACTTAGCTTCCATCCTGGGCTCCCTGACAATCGACCCACTGCTGGAGAAGGGACAACACACAGAAGAGCTTCCAGGAAACTGACCTTACAGGGCACATTTTCTACAGAGATGGCATTAGAAGGACACATAAGCAAAACCCAAGTGCTCCTGTGTGAGCCCCTCCTCACAGTCCCATCCTCAGCCCACTCCTCACCCTTGAGAGCCCTCTCATAACCACAGCTGCAAGTCTTACATCTAAAAGGGTGACTCCAAAGTCTCTCCAGTGACCTTCAGTCCCATATTCCCACCAGCACTTCACAAGTAACCCTCTCTCTCCTCCAATTTGACCTCTTTATATCTGATCACACTAGGTGTCCTCCTACCAACCTGCTGCTTCCCCCAACTCCAGTGCAGGGTTTCTTGCTCCAGCCAGTCACCCATGCTTGAACTCTCACAATCATTTTGACTCAGCCCCATGTGTCCTAGAGTCAAACATTCATCAAATCCTTGCATCTTTCTTTTTACCAGGCTATTTCTTATCTATTTTCTTATTATTCCTTAGACTCTTAGACTACTACAACACCCATGATAGGTTTAAAATAAATATCCACAAATTAGAACTTAGCAAAGTCTTACCACAAAACTGCACATTGGTTGATAAGGCTATTTCCATCTTACCAATAAGCAATCAGAAGTTCCACGAATGAAAAGACCTCCCCGAGAACAAGCTGCCAGAAAAGAGGATGGCTTCACCTCTTCTCTTCAGTCTCAACCCTCCAGGTTTATTCCACCTACCACAGTGCACTGTGCTTCATAGACAGAAAGTGATTTCTAAGGAAGCCCCGTAGTAAGGGTCCGATGCAGGACTTCTGTCCATGGCCGAGTGGCAGAATAACTTTTCTTTGGGTTACTACTGTCATTGGTATTCATTTGTATTTAATGAGCTCCTACTGGGTACCGGACATTGTTAGGCCACTTGACTTTCTTTTCTTGATTTTTGTTCCATCTGATTAATCTCGTTTCCTCCTCCTTCCTCCTTTACGAGATAGGTATTATTCATTTCATTTTACGCTTGCAGAGGGTCCCAGATTTTATGTATTTATTCAAAAATACGCACCTAGAAAGTGAAACAATTCGAAACCAGGAATAAATGGCTCTGAGACCTAGAAGAGCCCCTAACCCACATCACTGAGCAGGAACTCCTTTGTGGTTTTTAAAAAAAAAAAATCAAATCACCATTACACTACTTTGGAAAGAAGCCAGAAAGAGAAAAATGAGAACCTCTTTTTTGACTGAACAAATTTAAAATGTAAAAGAAAAGGATTAAAGAGATTACTGGAGCAACAGCAACAGGCTCATGAAGCCACAAGGCAGCAGACCTTCCCAGCACCAATGGCAGAAAAGAAGCCCGGAGCTCCGTGGGCAGCCAGATCTCTCCAATTTCACAACATGAAAATGTTGTTCTCTGTCACCAGCTTCACTAATGTCACATTATTTTAAATTATTCTTTTAATATTTATATATTATATTAAAGTGACTTCAAGTTTAAACTGGGATGTTGAAACAGTTTTTCAAATCGCACTTCAACAAATTTCTACTTCTTATTTCACATGAATTCTTCCTAAGCGGACAAACAATACAGATAGAGAAAAACTGAGGAAGAAAGAGAATAATTTCCAAACACTGCATTCCATTTGAGAAGGAGGAGAAAGAAATAAGAGCAAGGCAAAAAAAAAAAAAAAAATCCCCACAAATATCAAATTCAGAGTGGGCTGAAGACAGACTGAAGCGCTTCCCTCAGGCAGATCAGCTGCACGCAGATGTAATTCACCTGTTCTGCCATACCCGTTAGTATCCCGAGCAAGATCTGAAAGGAAAACTTGGAAGCTTAGATATAAAATAGATCATCACGCTACAAAGGTTATTTCAAAAAGCAGCTTCATATATTCCAAAGAACCAAAAAAGAAGTTCCTGCCATGTCACGGTATTTGCTATTTCTTTTTCTCCTGTCCAAACCCAAGTTCAATGGAAATGGACAATATCCAGCTAATGGTCACAGTGACAACACTTGTGCCTTAAGAACTTACTGATTGAAGTTGTGGTCATCTGCTGATAAGCCGGCGAGCGAGAAGCACTCAGACACAAAGGAACCCATTGAAACGTGTATAATTGTAAGTCTCTAATTATCCTTTCTAATTTTGGAGCCATGTGACAGGACTTCACACAGCACCGCTGACCCCCGGTCAGCCTGAGGGCCATGTAGCTGGGCTACATGGGGAGGGGATGCTCCTCTTTGCTTCTTCATTGATATATTGTGTTCCATGCAGAGGCTGAGCTGTTTCCGGCTGACATGTGGCTCACTCATCAACAGGCAGGCAGAGCAAGCACCTGGGAGAATGCATTAGGCTGGTGCAAAAGTAATTGCAGTATTGCCATTGAAAGTAATGACAAAAAACTTAATTATGTTTGTGACAATCTAATAGTCCATCCAGATTTATTCCAGGATTTTAAGAGGCTTTTCACCTTACACAGAGTGAGCCGCTTGATGTCACAAAGGTATTTAATACTTTTAAAGACAAATAGACACGCACTCAAAAAAAAAACTGTCTTTCCCAACTGCATACTAGAATATTATAGATTTGGAATATTTTCTTCTTTGACTTGAGTAGAGAGAGTAACAGGGAAGAACAGTGTCCCTCTGGCCGCCAAAGGATGGCTGAGCCCAAGACTGGAAGGCATTCCTGAGAGAAGGAACTAAGTGCTACAACACCACAATCAGCCTTCCCAACCTCTTGCACCTTTCTTTAAAAGAGCAATTCAGCCGAGAACAGTGTCATCCTGTGCTCAAAAAAAAAATCACTGTCCAATACCGCCACTGAAATAATCTTTAATGACAAAGTAAAGACAGATCTTGAAACAGAAAAGGATTTAAGTAAATCTAGGCAATAGCAAAGCAAATACATTTTTGTTTTGTTGAAGATATCTGGTCTTGTTCTAGATCTACCATGAAATCATTACCACTTGGTCCAGTTCAGCATAGCTCAGTAAGAGCACGGGCTCTGGAGGCTGACTGCCTGTGTTCGAGGGCTGAGTATGCCACTTACCATCTGTGTGACCTTTAGCAAGTTACTCAACCTCTCTGTACCTCAGTTTCCTTATTCGGAAAATTAGAACACTAATAGTTCCTTTCTTCCCCCTATAGCTCATTATGAGAACGAAGCATCATGTGTTTACTAAATAAATCAAACCTATGGGCCACATATGACACACAATTATGTTCAGAGACTAGCTAAAGTAATAATATTTTTTACAAGCTAGCGACTAACACTTTATACATTAAAATCAATATTTAATTTCCTTGGTTCATGTCTACCAAATATCAAGGAGGCGCGATCAGGGGAGAATTCATTAGTCTTATTCCTTTTCTTTTAAGCCTTCCTCAGAGCTCACTTTATGCAATGTACTCAGACCCCCACCACTAGCAAGGAAGCAGGAGAGGCGAGTGAACACAGATGGAATGGAGGCATGGCCACTGCTTTTATTTATGACTTTTCTTTTGTAAATATATTAATACAATGGGAAATTTTTTTTCCTTTAATTCTAACACTTGGGCCCTCAGTGCTTGGCTGAAGGACAGGCTTAATACCTCAATGTCCACTTCCTTGCCTCGGCAGAGGGATGTTTTAACGCAGATGAAATTTTAAAAGGCCAGCTCACTGATTGCTTTAAAAATGTGTGGAAACGTGTGTATTATTGACCTGGTAAATTTTCCTTCAAATTGAATGCATACACCACCACCGACAACAACAACAAGCAGCTCTACATTTAGAACTTAGTTTCTTGAAAACAGACCATCTCAGACTTCCGGCTTTATCAACACATGGCATGAGAGAAATCCGATCAAAAGAAGAATAACAAAATAAAAGACCCAACACCTAGCACAGTGAATGAATCCGGCCTAGGAGCCAGACAACTTGAATTCTACTACGGTATCTGTCACAAGACAGCCACGTGGCTTTGGGTAAGATATCCCACCAAACTGGAATACAGATTCTATGTTATATATATATATATATATATATATATATATATATATATATATATATATATATATATATATATTTTTTTTTTTTTTTTTTTTTTTAAAGGCTATCTGAGGCCCCTTCAAGTAGTAAAATGTTCTCATTCTCTAACCCACAATAGTAACACAATTCTTCTTTGGTTACAACTTCTCCAAATCAGCAAGGAAGGTAGAAGGGAGTAAAGAAAAATATGGGTTTTTCAGTTTCCTTAAAATTTCTTAGGATCATTAAACCTGCCCTACCTTTTAACCTTGAATAGAGACATACATCACAAAATAAAGCTTCCTCCACCTGTAACCACTTATTATCATATGCCAACCTCAAATAACACAAAATGGGGGAGTCCTGCCAAGCTTGTCTGTCCAAGCCACTGGCAGTGCTCAGCACATGGTAGGATGACCACCAATCAGGAATTGTACAGTAGGAGTGCCCAGACTCGGGGAGAGGCAAGCTGGCGCGTCTCCAAGGTGCTTGTCACTCACCACTAGAACGTGGTCCTTTACCACTAGACAAGATCTCCTGGTTTGACAATGCAGGTGACACAGCTGAAACTTTATCTCAACACGGCCTGAAGAATACCACTGTCTAAATATGAGATGCTAAAATACTATGACCTACTCTAATATTCTCTCCCAACTCTGTCCATCCTCGTGACTGGCACCCATGCTGGCCCAAATGATGACAACCTCCTGTTCTAAGTGCACAAGCCGCACATTTAATAAACCTTTCACCCAGTTCCTTCACTGGTGTTCATCTCTCGGCTTCACTTACAACCACTCCCTGTGGCTTTTGCAGTGAAGCCTCTTAGCCCAAAACTCTTCCACTCCCCAAACCATGTTTGGTCTGTAATATAAACAACTTCCACTCACCCTAGAAAACTGAGTGGGAATTTCAGTGCAATTATCTGCATACCTTTCCTACAGCGTTTTATCACAATTTGCAGTCCTCAGAGACGAAGGTGAAAGGGGAGGACTAAGGTGGCACCCTCCACTGAGGAGCACCGCCTCACGGGGACACTGCTTTCAGGAATGCCTCCTCGCCAGTACTCTTCCACTGAGAGACACTCTGATCTCAGAGATACAAGAAGTCTAGATGTGGACTAACCAGGCAACCAGTTCATATGCACACACTTACCCAGGCTCTGCTTTGTACCATGTCCTGTGCGAGGTGCTTTAGTCTCTATTAACCCTTTAAATCTCACAGCCTCACAACACACTGGATCATTAACCCCATTTCGCAAATAAATAAATCCAGTTTCAGAGAACGTAAGTGGCTTGCCCAAGTACTTCAGACCAAAGTCTTGTGGTTTTGACACCTTGTTCTTTTTATTCTCACTGTGACCCAGTAAGACAACCAATATCCACAATCCATATTCACAAGAAAATGCATAGCTACAATGTCACAAGGAGCCAATCCTGAATTTGCTCATCTAATGAACTATAAACCTTCAAACTGGTTATAGAAAATGCTCAGCACAGGGCAGACTGCTCAAAAAGAGAGGTCCATTGAAAACCTGTAATATTAATACTGGCTTTTTTTTTTTTTAACAAAAAACACTGGTATTATTTAATACAGCTTTAAACAGCTTTAAAATAGTTGATCACCATTTAACACCTCCCACCAGCTCCACACAAACATACATACATACACACACACACACACACACACATATACCAAAACAAAATTCATAAAATTGTCACAGGTAGATAACCTGAGGATGACGAGCATGAAGAAATGAAACGCTGGATAATCCATAAATAGTCGCGGAATCCCCAAATAACAGGCATGGTGGATACAATGTACATAATTTGTCATTTTATCTCCCAGATAGATTAAAAATCCTAAAGTAGAGAGAGAAAATAAATACGGAGCCTAGACCAAGATATCAGCTCTCTCAAGCATCTGTCTAATCGGATCCTTCCTTCAACACGTCAGGAACAGGAAGACAGAACAGGAACTCTCAGAGCAAAGGGCTGGAAGAGACTTTGCTGACTGTATAGTCCACCACTTTAATTTCCAATGAAGGAATCTCTGAGCTAATCAAACAATCTTCTTGAAGTCTTCAACCACCCTCAGTGCCAGACTAAAGCTACGATCTCTCAGTGTTCGTTTCACAGCACCACGTCTCTGCCATCATCGGAGCTGATAACCTCACTCATCATCCCCAAATATTTGTTTGGTATCCAATTTATATATAGTCATCCAGGAAATCCCACAGACTAAAATGATCACAGTGTGCCAATGTGACAAACCACTAAGGTGTGTCTTTCCTGCCCTAAAACTCAAATTACTTTTTACTCACATCATTTGCTTATGTCCACAGAAATTGGCCAAATGATTTAAATATATATTCCACACTCAGATTTCCCAGAAAAGAAATCCTACAAAAACCACCAGCATGAAATGAATGAGAATGGGACGAGTACCTTCCCCAGAAAGCAATCTCCGGGGTGCCTTTCGTGTAGATGGAGTCGCTGGCATCATTCAGCCCATTGGTGACGCCACTAGAATAGCCCATCACGATGCCACCATCTGCAGACACACTCAGGATATCCTGATGTCCTCCCCCTGATGTCCTCTCCAAGAACTGACCACCTTCTTTAATGCGCTGTTGTATCATTGGAGTGAGGGGCATTTCAAAGCTAAAATAGCTATCAGGCTCTGAGTATAATGTCTCCAGGGACTCTGCACTGTAGTATAAAGAAGTGTTGTCCAAAATGGTTTCAAACTGGGAGCTGTACACGTCGGTGGAGTCCTCCGTATATCCAGGCCCAAGGATGTCTTCATCTTCCCCCTTAACGTGCTCCTCTTGTTCGCTGATCCTGGAAAGTAAATAAGAGTGAAGAATTCCAATATTAGGTTAATGTCTTTATTTCTCCCACTTCAACCATATAAAAAGGACAACATTCTGAAGATCTAACTCTTCTATTCATTGACTTATATCTTAACATATTTGGGAAGGAAGCTATGAAATATAATCAGGTTGAAAAATTCTTGGCATGCATGTGGCTAGGACACTATAAATACTTTAATAAAGTTTCAAACTAGTTTCCTAATGTGTGAATACATCTGGTCCAATGAAGATATGAATAAAATATTCAATTCTCATTTTAGCCAAATATACCGTACACATTCAGATTATTTGCAACTACCAGCATTCCTAATTATAACAGAAGCAGATAAATATATCATGGAAACTTGATACGGCAAAATTTCAGTAAAAATACACCAAACTTTCATCAGTTGATTAATACTTTCTGATTTAAATAAGGCCAAATGCTCTCAAGCAGATGACTGCATCAGAAGCCAAGAGCTGCCCCCTGCTGACAACAGAGCAGCACTGCAGAGAGATTTCACGTCCAAAATTAGATAGCCAATTAACGGCCTAACAAAAAGGCAACAGAAGCAAGGCTAACCAAAGCTTTGAGAGATTAGAAACAGCTCAAAAGTCAACATACAGGGTAGGGCATTCACTTTGGCACACAAACGTGAACAATTAATATGCAGCATGTTCTACAAATATTAAAAACGAACATTAGGATAACTAAGTAAAATTAAAAACTTGGGAGATAGATCACTACTAAGAGCAAGAGGTCAAGAGTTAGAAAAACCAGAAGCTGAATTTTGGCTGTCTCAATTACTAGCTATATCACTTGAAGCAACTTTACTTAACCTCTCTGAGCCTCAGATTCCTACAAATAGGAATAACATAGAATTAGGAATTATCTATTAAGCATCTCATAAGTCATCCACATTCCCAGGTATTACTGGAATCCACATTCAGCATTGCAATTGGTTTGTTGTTTTTAAATACTGAAGGTCACCCATGGGACCAAATGCTTGTTCTTAATGGCTTTCCACTGCACTTGGCATAAACTGGACCGTTCCTAAGATGATGCTCCTCCCTACCTCTCCACACTCACTGCACCCCACTCTCCCCTGCTTTTTTTTTTTTTTTTTGAGATGCAGTCTAACTCTATCACCTAGGCTGGGGTGCATTGGTGCAATCTCGGCTCACTGCAGCCTCCGCCTCCCAGGTTCAAGTGACTCTCCTGCCTCAGACTCTCAAGCAGCTGGGATTACAGGCATGTAACACAACGCCTGGCTAATTTTGTATTTTTATTGGAGATGGAGTTAGCCAGGCTGGTCTCAAACTCCTGACCTCGGGTGATCTGCCTGCCTCGGCCTCCCAAAGTGCTGGGATTACAGGTGTGAGCCACCATGCCAAGCCTCCCCTGCTCTTCAGGCATTAGCCACACAGGGAGAGTTTCAAATCTTCAAGCCTGGCACAGGCCTTGGCTTCACACATCTGCAGGAAGCACACACTAGTCAGGGAGCTCAGCAGCCTCCTGTGCACATGCTGTTCCCTCTAGCTGGAACATTCTTCCTACCCCTTCTCTGGCTGGCAAACTCTTTCCTTCCTCACGTCTCAGTGTAATTTCCATTTCCACAGAAAAGCTTTGTCCAAGCCATCAACTAAACTGGCCTCTTCCCTCCATCCAAATTATTCATTCTTGTAGGTCTCTGTTCTTTCCTTCACAGAACCTAGCACACTTTGTGATCCTATACCTATTAGCATGTTTATGTGATCAATGTTTATCTTCAGTGGTAAATTCCATGAGGACAGTATCCGTGAGCCACATCTATTTTGACCATTCCTTTACGCCCAGCATCTTGCAGTGTCAGGACATAGGAGACAATTGAAAATATTTGTGGGAAGAAAAGAGGAATGAATTATTAATCTGAACAACAGTAAAAGTGCATATTCCAGTGGGAATATAAACACTGGGCCACATGCCACATATCAAGGCCGCTTTGGAGGGAAGTCTGGAGAGCTGATGGGTTGGGGAGGGGAGTGGGAAGGATCCTGCCAGTGATCCCAAAGGAGCACCACTCTCAGTGGGTTTTTTAACTGCAGAGGAAAAGGCATTTCCTTACACCGAACAAAAAAACAAAAAACAACCCTCGGCCTTGACACAGATGCTCTCCCGTATAAACTATAAAATGTGGTGTCATGAGGGCTGACAGAAGAAAAGATGGTACCAATTAGAAGTACAGTACACAACAAATGACTACGATCAAAGGGAGTGCAGAAAGATGGGTCACGTCTGCCATTTATCCAGGGTCTAAGCTGGTGTAGATGTCAGAAATGCAGGGAAAGACCAGGAAATACCACATGATGTCAAGTTTCAATCATAAAGGCCATAAATCTCATAAGTAGGAGTTAAACAATGAGAACATATGGGCACAGGGAGGGGAATATCACCCACCGGGCCCTGTCGGGGTGTTGGGGGCTAAGGGAGGGATGGCATTAGGAGAAATACCTAATGTAGATGACGGGTTGATGGGTGCAGCAAACCACCATGGCACATGTATACTTATGTAACAAACCTGCACGTTCTGCACATGTACCCCAGAACCTAAAGTATAATTTACAAAAAAAAAAAAGGCCATAAATCAAAATATATGCTACTTGTGAGAAGAAGAAATTCCCATGTGAATACCAGGGAACAACTGAATTATAAAATCTACTTCTGACCCCCTGAGATGTCATTTCAAAACATAGGAAGGGCCCGGCACAGTGGCTCACACCTGTAATCCCACCACTTAGGGAGGCCAAGGTGGGAGGATCACTTGATGCGAGGAGTTTGAAACAGCCTGGGCAACAAAGTGGGACCCCATCTCTACAAAGAGTACAAAAGTTGGCCAGGTGTGGTGGTGCACACCTGTAGTCCCAGCTACTCAGAGGGCTGAGGTGGGAGGATCTCTTGAGCCTGGAAGGTCAAGGCCGCAGTGAGCCGTGATCACACCACCATACTCCGGCCCGGGGGACAGAACAAGACCCTGTCTCTGTATAAATAAATAAACAAACAAACATAGGAAATTGAGTGGGCCAAGAACCTCTGTGTTCATACATGTATGTCGGCTGGACTGAAGGCATTGGTGTTATACCCAGAAGAAATGCCAAGGTTGGAAGTACCAGCTATATAGGGTGTGTCAAAAGAGTCCAAACCTTTTCATATTACTAAAGATGACTGTGGGGTATGTTAGTTACCTTGACGTTGGGAAACTTGAAATCTGTCAAATGTTAAGAAAATGTCAGAAAAGAATTCACAGTTTAGTGTTCACAGTCTCTTCAGAACTCTGTTTCCCTGGTCCATGCCTAACGGATGACTTTATAACAAGATCACTTTAATATCTGAGAAGCTTAGGAGGAATCTTAGCTTAGAAGGACCTAGCTCACAGTAACTCATCTTATATTCCATGATAACAAGAACCCAAGGTATTGTGATTGAGTTCTCATATCAAGTACAGGATAACAGTTTTCTATGATATGTACCAGGCATCTGAGACAGCAGGGCTACTATGGGAGCTCACCTTTCCCTGTCTCTCTCTGGTTTAGGTGTCTTCTCAAGATGCTGTTTGTTTTCCTGTAGGAAGACTTCATCCTCTCCACTCTCATCAAGACGCACAGGGGAAAATGTCCCCGAGCTAGTGCCAGGCCTCTCTGAAGGAGCTTTCCAGGATTCATCCCAAACATTCTCAGTTAAACTACTTGAATTACACAAACCAGCTGATGAGATGAGATGGCGTGGCACTTTGGAAGACTCTTTGCTGTCAGGAGAGGCTGTTCTTTGCAGTGATGTCTCAAAATCTATAGGATGCTGGGTCTCTCTCTTGTCTCCTCCTGTCCACAGTATTTCCACTCCTTGAAATTCCACATGTTTGACCCGGCCTGGGCGTCCCATGGAGCTGCTTCGATCACATCCCCCTGGGTGCTCTCTCCCAAGAGCAGACCTCTGCTCTTTCAAGAAACCAACACTGCCTGCAGAGTGGCAGGTCACTGCTGAGCTCCCGAGGGAGGCCAAAGGACAAGATGGCTCCTGCACACAGACAGCCCCTTTCCTCCCATTATTCATTATCTGGGAAATCTCTGCCTGAGTGTCTCCAGTTAACAGCGCGGTGAGATCTTTCTGGATGCTCAAATAAAAACTTTCCTCCGTTGTTACTTCAGCTGAAAGAGGTATTTCTGGTAAATTTTTTTGGCCAGCAGGGAGCGTTTTGTTGACTCTCTGTGTTTTACGACTGGCAGTGTCCAGCTCTTTTTCCACCTGCTGAACTGAAAAACTAGAAACAGCATCTTGGTCCAGTACCTTTGTAGCCTGTAATGTTCCGGAAATGATTCTGGCTTCTGTGGCTTTCAGAGCTGAAATCAAAGAGTCAATGGGCTGTAAACTTTGTTCCTTGAGATGACTTTGAGAGGGGGCCTCTCTGACATCTTTTGGTCCTTCTGTAACACTGTCGAGCCCAGAGTGGCAGCCAGTAAGAGGCTGGACACCCTGCTGCTCTTGTGGGTGGCATGGCAGAGCCTCACCATCAAATTCCAGAGAAGCCCTTAGGCCTTCTCCACCTTCCTCCATGGTCCCATATTCTGGAAATTCATTTGTGACATTTGGTGGGAGTAAAGTGCTTCCTCCATGATCACCTGTGAAGAGAACACAATGGACATATGACTTGTTGTAGAAAGACAGGGCCCAGTAGGTAATAATGCATATTCACACAGATTAGGCACTCAATAATACTTATTAACTTGATTATTGCATTATATCAGTCCTCCCACCACCCTGTAACACACACTCCTCATGACACTACAGTGATCCCTTCTACTCAGCCTACGCGAGTATAACCACAAAACTTTCGGCCTAGAAGGCAATCTAATGACACCTGCCATATTTAACTTTGCTTCTGATGTCCCATACATGAGGATTCAGAACCTCAGTTGCTTCATATGCAAAAAGGGGTTACAATAAGGATATGTACCAACTTCCAAATACCACTCATGAAACAGCAACTAAAATGTGTATATTGGGCTTAACACTAAAGAGCCCTATGATCTAGCCAACAGTATCTGTGCAGTGCAAGCTCCGAGACAGAGCCTCTGCAAAATGCTTATGATCTATTTAAACTCAGTCAATATGTTTTTTCTGCCAGAAGTCTCCCCTTCATTGTTGGGTTTCTGTGGAGGGAAAAAATGCTTTCAAAACATCCCTGAAAAATAAGAATGAAGCCAACATGGAATGAGAAACTTAGTGTGTTGAGAAAGACTTCCAGGAACCCAACTACGGAAAATTCATTTTTCTCATTTTATTCATTTATTTTCCCAATTGACAAAAGTTTGTTTATATATCTAGATATATGTTTACATATATAAAGTTTATATATATATAGTATACAACATAATGTTTAATATATGCGTACCTTTGTAGACTAGCTAAATCAAGCTAATTAACAACATACCAGTACTGTACCTCAAATTTTTGGTGTGTAGTGAAAACATTTAAAATCTACTTACTCTTCTAGCAATTTTCAAGTATACAATACATTGTTATTAACTATAGTCACCATGTTCTACAACAGACCTCCTGAATTTATTCCTCCTACCTATCTGCAATTTTGTATCCTTTGACCAGCACCTCCCCAATCCCACCACCCACCAGTCCCTGGTAACCATCATTCTAGTTTCTGCTTCCAAGAGCTCAACATTTTAGATTCTACATATTAGTAAGATCACTACCTGCATAAAATTGTAATGGCATCTTACGAAGAACCCCAATACACGAAGTAAACAGTATTAGTATATATTCACTATATTGAACCAAATTTATAATATTTTCTTGTTAAAATGATAGCCAGTGAGAACTGAAAATGGGGACATTCTGACAAACCAAAACTTTCAATTGGGGGTTTACAGATAGCAGCTGTAGTCCTATCAGCCCTAGTATCCAGTCTTCTTCTGAACTTAGTTTTGGTTACTTTGTATCATGAAAACCCTCATCTATGCTGGAAATACAGTGTACTCACTTTTACTTTATGAAAGAGGACATTAGTTGTTACCATTTTTATTTTATTTTATTTTATTTTATTTATTTATTGAGATGGAGTCTCACTCTGTTTCCAGGCTGGAGTGTAGTGGTACGATCTCGGTTCACTGCAACCTCTACCTCCCGGGTTCAAGTGATTCTTCTGCCCCAGTCTCCAGAGTAGCTGGGACTACAGGTGCGTGCCACCATGCCCAGCTAATTTTTGTTTTTTGTTTTAAGTAGAGACGGGGTTTCATCATGTTGGCCAGGATGGTCTCGATGTCTTGACCTCGTGATCCACCTGCCTCGGCCTCCCAAAATGCTGGGATTACAGTCATGAGCCATCGCACCTGGCCATTGTTACCATTTTTAAACTACTGCAGAGCTACAACCTTCCTATTTAGTGAAATATTTTATAAATGTCTGTGTATATATATACACTGAAATGGCTGAAAAGACTTGATTCTGCCTGTAATCCCAGCTACTTGGGAGGCTGAGGCACGAGAATCATTTGAACCTGGGAGGCAGAGGTTGCAGTGAGCCGAGATTGCACCATTGTAGTCCAGCCTGGGTGACAGAGCAAGACTCCATCTCAAAAAAAAAAAAAAAAAAAAAAATTTGATTTCCAAGGTAACTTGGAAACATCAGTTATCCTAATAACTGATAATTATTAATTACTGATACAATTACTAATAATAGGTGTATTGCTATTGAACACACGGTATCCCCCAGTGTGTTAAATAGCAATACCTCTGAGAGTACATGCTGTTTCATATTCCATGTTGTAAAATAATTTGAAATATATACACTTTTTTCTCTTTTTTAAAGACAGGATCTTACTCTATCATCCAGACTGGAGTGTGGGAGTGCGAACATAGCTCACCGCAGCCTCGAACTCCTCGGCTCAAGTGATCCTCTCACTCCAGCCTCTCGGGTAGCTGGGACCACAACAGGCATGCACCATCATGTCCAGCTAACGTTTTTACTTTTTGTAGAGATGGGGTCTCACTGTGTTGCCCAGGCTGGTTTCAAACTCCTGGCCTCAAATGATCCTCTCGCCTTGACCTTGGGATTACACACATGAGCCACCATGCCTGGCCTGAAATATATTCTTAAAATTAAATCTGAATCAAGTGTTGATGGAATCTAACAAGCACTTCTCTGGGATAGTATTTATAACACCTTCTACAAGACAGAACTAATAAAATGTAGCTTGCTTACATCTGAAGAGGAAGTGACTTTTCAAACAATGAATTGAAAAAGATGATAGCTAAAAACAATAAAGAGCCTTCTTCCTAGGGTGGAATATTGATATTTTATGTCTTTCAGTAAAGAAGGCAGTAGGTCTTTTCATGGTTCCACCTTTTAAGATTCAGGCATTTTTAGTATATTCACAAAACTGTACAACTATCACCACTATCTAATTCTAGAACTTTTTTTTTTTTTGAGATGGAGTCTTGCTCCGTCACCCAGGCTGGAGTGCAGTGGCGCGATCTCGGCTCACTGCAAGCTCCGCCTCCTGGATACACGCCATTCTCCTGCCTCAGCCTCCCGAGGAGCTGGGATACAGGTGCCCATCACCATGCCTGGCTAATTTTTTGTATTTTTTTAGTAGAGACGGGGTTTCACAGTGTTAGCCAGGATGGTCTCGATCTCCTGACCTTGTGATCCGCCCGCCTAGGCCTCCCAAAGTGCTGGGATTACAGGCGTGAGCCATGGCGCCTGGCCATTCCAGAACATTTTTATCACTCCCAAAAAGAAACCCTGTATCCATAAGCAGCCAATCCCCATTTCAGCTTTTCTCAGCCCCTGGTAACTACCAATATACTTTCTATCTCTATGAAATGGTCTATCCTGGACACTTCATATAAATGCAATCATACAATATATGGCATTTGGGGTCTGACTTCTTTCACCTGGCACAAGGTTGTCAGGTGTACTCATGTCATATCATCTATCAAAACTTCATTCCTTTTATTTTATTATTTTTTACATGTAAAGAGAGACAGGGTCTCTCTATGGTTCCCAGGCTGGTCTCAAACTCCTGATCTCAAGCAAACCTCCCAGTTCAGCCTCCCAAGTAGCTGGACTACAGGTATGCGCCACTGAGCCTGGCTGAGAACTTCATTCTTTATTATTGCCAAATAATGTTTCATCATACGGGAGCAGTCTTTTCTTTGGCCATTCATCAGTTGATGAGATATTGGAGTTGTTTCAACTTGTTGGCTGCTATGAATAAAAAATGTGTATATAAGTTTCAGGGTCTAAATACATTTTTTCTTTTCTTCCTTTTTTTGAGACAGGGTCTCACTCTGTCACCCAGGCTGGAGTGCAGTGGGACGATCATGGCTCACTGCAGCCCTGACCTCCTGGGCTCAAGCCATTCTCCCACCTCAGCCTCCTGAGTAGCTGGGACTATAGGCACAGGCATGCACCACCATGCCCAGCTAATTTTTCTTTTTTTTTCTTTTGGCAGAGATGGGGTTCCACCATGTTGCCCAGGCTAGTCTTGAACTCCTGGGCTCAAAGGATACGCCTGCCTCGGCCTCCTAAAGCGCTGGCATTACAGACATGAACCACCGCATCTGGCCTAAATATATTTGTTATTCTCTTCTATATATACCTAGGAGTGAAATTTCTGGATCATATAGTAAACCTATGTCTAATATTTTAAGAAACTGCTGAACAGTTTTCCAAAGCAAATGCACTATTTACATTCCTACAAGCAATGTCTAAGATTCTATTATTGTCTGTTTATTGTTACAGACATCCTAGAAGTGGTATCTCACTGTGATTCTCATTTGCATTTCCCTAATGACTAATTATGTTGAGCACCTTGTCATGTGTTTTTTGGCCATTTGTGCATCTTTTTTAGAGACATGCCCATTTGATGGCTGAATTATTTGTCTTTTTATTACTGAGTTCTAAGAGTTCTTTATATATTCTGGACATAAGTTCTTTATTAGATGTACACTTTGCAAATGTTTTCTACCATTCTGTGAGTGGTCATTTTTCACTTAATTGACAGTGTCTTCTGAAGCACAAACGTTTTTACTTTTGCTGAAATCCAAATTATCCGTTTTTCCTTTGGTCTCTTGTGCTTTTTGTATCATATGTAGCAAATCATTGTCTAAACCAACGTCACAAAGATTACTTTTACGTTGTCTTCTAAGAGTTTTGCAGTATTTGCTATTACATTTAGCTCTCTCATCCACTTTCAATTCATTTTCGTACATGATGTGAAGTAGAAATCCAACTTCATTATTTTGTATGTGGATATCCAGTTGTCCCAGAGCTATCTGTTGAAAAGACTATTCTTTACCCATCAAAAAGCCTTGGTGCCCATGTCAAAAATCAAACATATACATATATTAATATATATGCAAAGGTTTATTTCTGGACTCTCAAGTCCATTGAGCTAGATGCCTATCTTTTTTTTTTTTTTTTCTTTTTGACAGGATCTCACTCTGTCGCCCTGGCTGGAGTACGGTGGTGCAATCACAGTTCACTGCAGTGTTGACCTCCTGGACTCAAGCGATCCTCCCACCTCAGACTTCCGAGTAGCTGGGGCTATACGCATGCACCACCATGCCTGGACAATTTTTCATTTTTTTTAAGAGACAGGGTCTCACTACATTGCCCAGGCTGGTCTTGAACTCCTAGGCTCAAGTGATCCCTCCCGCCTCAGCCTTCCAGTGTCAGGATTACAGGCATGTAGCACCACACCTGGCTAGATGCCTATCTTTATGCCAGAATAACACTGTCTTCACTATTGTAGCTTTGCAGTAAGTGAAATCTGGAAGTGTGAGTCTCCTCCAACCTTGTTCTTCCTTTTTCAGGTTGTTTTGGTCACTCTTGGCCCCTTGAATTTCCCATTACTTTTAGAATCAACTCGTCAGAAAGCTGTGATTTTGATAGGGGCTGCAATGAATCTATACAGTACTGGCTTCTTAACAGTATTACTATTACATCTTTCGTTCCATGACCATGGGCTGTCTTTTCACTTACTTAATCTTCTTTAATTTCTTTTAGCCATTTTTTTTTATAATTTTAAATGTACAGATTTTCAATTTATTCCCCTAAGATTCTATTTCTTTTGATATTGCTTTTCAAATTTCTTTAGATCATTCAGTAGCCATGCATAGAAATTCAATTTGTTGCTGTATGTGAATCTTATATCCTACAACCTTGCTTAACTTGGAGCATATAATAACATATTTGTAGATTCCTCAGGATTCTACATACCAGATCATGTCATCTGTGGATAAAAGCTTTACTTCTTCCTTTACAATCCCAATCCATCTTTCTAATCAAGTCTCTGTCAACCCCCTTTCACATGTTATACCATTGCCTCTACACTGAAGTAGGAGGCAGCCCATGAATACCCTGAAAAGATTTGTTCTAATCCTAATACACACTGGAAATAAGCTTAAGCATACATACATTCTGAATGCATAGACATACACACGCTCCTTTGCCTTTGTTCAACTTCCTTTCTCTACCTGACATACTTTTTCTTCTCATTTCAACATAAATCAGATTATTTTCACATTTCAACACCTAAACCAAATCCCCTGTCCTTAATTAAGCCTTCCCTTGCTCACCAACTCTTGAAAAAAGTCCTCTCCTCTGTATAAATAAATGTCAAAAAGACTTTTGCGGTATGGTATATATAGTGTAAATATACAAAACAAATAAGCATAATGTTACTCACGCCTTAAAGCTTCCAAAGGCAATAATGTTTAACCCATCATGAAGTGTTTTAAGAAAATTGACCATAGTGACTGCTGAAGCTGTATTTATAAACTGCACCAAAACATATAACAGTGAAATCCATTCAACAAAGGGAAGAAAAGTTAAACTTAGACACTTGGGAGCCCGCTTTGCTTTAACAGTTTCAACTGCCCTCTGGAAAAAACAAACAAACAAACACACACACACAAACACACACACACACACACACACACACACACACACACGCACACACAACTGAACACTGGCCCCAAGAGAAGTGACCAAAAGATATCAAGGGGCCTCAGAGAATTCTGATAATTCCTTCACCCCATTTTTAATAGTTTTCATTGAAATGTCCCTCAGAAAGGGGCAGCAAATTCAACAATTGTGGGCAAGTGCTTGTGATGTCTGATATAACAACTTGGCAACCGGTCAAAGAAAACGAGGTCAGATAAGAGGGAGACAGGGCAAGGCAAAGCCCTGCGTGACAGATTGCTTGCTTTACTATTAAATACTGGAGTAGTTTCTCGTGGTCTGTGTTTACTGTTCTAAGAACTGGAACAGACGGGGGGAGACAAATGTTCTGAGAGGCGAAAGGACCTGACCAAGGTCAATAAAATGATGTTCAATAAAGTATTGTTTTAGAACTCTAAGTCAGGACTAAATTTCTAGTCTTCTGTCTCTCAGGAGTAAAAGCCTGGGAGAAACTCAGGGACACTGAACCGTGAGAGATCATCATTCATCATTGCTTTTTTTTTCTTTTCTGAGATAGGGTCTCACTCTGACACCCAGCTGGGGTGCAGTGGCACCATCATAGCTCACTGCAGCTCAGCCTCCTCCGGTGCTTAAGTGATCCTCCAGCCTCAGCCTCTGGAGTAGCTGGAACCACAGGCATGTGCCATCTCACCCGGCTAATTTTTTTATTTTTATTTTTTTGTAGAGACGGGGTTTCCCTATGTTGCCCAGACTGGTCTCGAACTCCTGGGCTCAAGTGATCCTCCCACCCTTGGCCTCCCAAAGTGCTGGGATTACGGCGTGAACTAACGCATTTAGCCAAGACCATCATTGCTAAGAGCAGTAATGTTAACAAATATAATGAAGAATAAAACCAGAAGTGTTCTAGTTGTAGCTTCTGGGTAGAAACAGCCTTAATTATCATGTCCCTAAGGATTCAGCATAACAGCAAGAATTTCCTTTCAAATAAGGCACCCTCTGCCACACCCCATGAGCAGTTTATTTTTGCTGTTTGCATTGGTTATCACAACTTGACTGTGTTGTTAATCCTGACCTTTTATTTAGAATTTCTGATTTATTCCTTCTGTTTAAAAATTGGGACTATATGCTAAGATAATTATTTTTTTAAAAAAAGACCAAATTATTGTTTTAAGATTTTTTAAGCTGCTCCCTTGTAAAATAGGGCCTTAGATACTTCCTATTAAATGCCCATTGTTTCCAAAATTCATTCACGCATTCAGCAAATATTGATTACCTGCTATGTACTAAACACAGGGGATTCAAAACTGAGTATTTCCAGAACATGAAAAGTCTGTTTGGCATGTTAGAAAGCTCGCCTTGGTGGAATGTGAAGGATGTGTAGCAGAGAGGGCACAAGCATAGACTCAGGAATAACCACGCAGGCTTCTGACAATAGTACAGGTGAGAGACGGTGAGTGCTAGAGCCAGAACAAAGGCAGAATAGACAGGAACAAAGATGCAAGGGGTGCTGCATCTCCCACGACACTCTACTTGGACCGGCATCCATGCCCATCATCTCCTCATCTCCTCTGCCCCAGGCCCCTCTAGTTTCAACATGGCTTCTTCCAACTGCTGTGAGCTCTTACACCAAACTTGAAACTTGTTAACACTTTCCCTTTCAGTCTACATCTATTACTAATGTAAGAATCCACTGAAAACATTTCCCCTCCAGCGAGCCTTCCTGAATTAGTCCTACCTGAATTTGGTCTTGTATGTGTGACAAAGGGACTCAGGGACTTGTTAAATATAAAAAAAGAACTTTAGCACTTACCTAAATATAAACCACACACTAGTAGAATGTGAATTAATAAAGAGTTCATACTTTACTGCGTGTATTTTTCCCCTTAAAGAAATGAAAATGTAGTGTAGAGTGTGGAGGAGGGAAGAGAGAAGAGTTTTCACATTCATGTGAAATACAGGTACTTTTTGGAGGTATCTATTTACAGTCCATTAGAAGTCATACTTTTCTATCAGAGACTTTATCTGCGGCTTTGTGTATCTGGTTAGATTCCTAACAAATCGTGTTTCCTGTTGTTTAGCAAAGATGCTTTTCCTGCAATGACATATAAACCCACTGATTTTTTAAAGACCTTTTTTCTTTTGATTTAGTATATTGAGAAAGAAATGAGATACATTTGAATGTTAAGATGAATTTTAGGAGTGCTTTGGGTTATATATTAAGTAGTCATCTGTTTCTGGAACACAGGGACAGAGCTGTAATAAAATGAAATGAAATAGAAAGAAATTTCTTCAAATTGTGAGAAAATAAGCCTGTTCCATAAGATCGGCTGCAGAAAAACCAGGGTCTTTCTAAGAATTATCCTGTTTGAGGAGCAGTAAATCAAACTGGTTTTCTTCCACTCTGGCTAGCAAACTCCTGAAAAGACAATAGTTCAAGAAAAACAAAATATAAGAACTATTTGCCACATCTACCGTAGACTCGGTCACTGTAAGCTGAAATTTGAACCAGATAAAACCGTTTTCATGCGGGATTCTCAGCAACAGGACATACGTTTCCCCAGACTATATGGCAGTCACATCTATGCCTAGGTTCCTCAGGAGAGCCACAGTTACGGATTCTACACACATATATTTTCTAGAACCTGGGATCAGTCATGCCATTTTTTAGTAAAAGGTTTTTGTTTTGTCTTGTATTGTTTTGTTGCCACAAAAATATAAACTCTAAAAGGCAAGAACTTTATTTGCTTTCTTTACAATTATATCTCCAGAGCCTATAACAATTTTACCTAGCAAAATGGGTATTTTTGTTGAAGCAATCAATTATGAATGTCCCAGAACCAATAGGATACCAATTAATAGAAGGTGAAAGCCAGATGAGGTGGCTCACGCCTGTAATCCCAACCCTTTGGGAGCTTGAGGCAGGAGGTTCACTTGAGCTCAGGAGTTCAAGACCATCCTGGGCAAACAGGGAGACCCCTCCTCTACAAAAAATTTAAAAACTTAGCCAGGTGTGGTGGTGTGTGCCTGTGCTCCCAGCTACTTGGGAGGCTGAGGTGAGAGGACTGCTTGAGCCTGGGAGGTTGAGGCTGCAGTGAACTGTGATTGTGCCACTGCCCTCTAGCCGGGACAACACAGCAAGATTCTGTCTCAACAAACAAACAAACAAACAAACAAAAAACCTTAAGACAGAAGCAAAAAAGCAGCCTCCTTAAACATAAGCAAAACACTATATGTTAGTGTCACCCAAGTCCTACCCGTTGCTTCTAAGTCCAGGCTTGAAAAGGATTCAGGAAACAGTAGGGCGCTTCCTGATATTAGAGCCAGTTCATTCTCTCATTTACTCAGCCAACATTTCTTGTGGACCATGAATGCATCAAGCAGCAGAGAAAAGGGCAACAAACAAGAGCAACTTGGCCTCTGTCATCAAGGAGCTTACAATCCAGCAGCTCCATCTATATATACTGTCTGCTCGCAAACAAAGTTCAGGCAGTGGTAAATTTCAGTGGAGATAATCTCAGCCTATTCTAGAATTCAGCATGATCCTACATGAGCTGATACCATTAAGTATAAATTTCTCAATGGATTTCTCTCTAACACTGTGTTGTCCAATTTGGTAGCCATATCCACAGAAGCCTATTTACATTTACATTTAAGTTACTTAAAATTTAATAAAATTGAAATTGTAGTTCCTTAGTGCTCCATACCATATATAGCTAATACCTACCATACTCCACTATACAGATATATGGATATATATATACATATATATAGCTTATGTAGATATATATACACACACACACACACACGCACGCACACACACACAGATATCCATATATCTGTATAGTGGAGTATGTATGTCTGTATAGATACCTGTATATTTCTGTATCTGTCTATACACAGAGAACATTTCCGTCATCACAGAAAGCTCTATTTGAAAGTGCTGCCCTAGAGCCTTTCTACTCAGTGTGGTCTTGAGAAAGCAGCATAGATATCACCAAGGAGGCTTGTTAGAAATTCAGACTCTCAGGCACCACCTCAGACATTCCCAATCAGAATCCTGTTGGTTTCTAACGAGAATCCCAGAGGATTTGTATACACGTTACAGGATGAGAAACACACCTCCAGAAAACTACAACAATATCTACAAGTCATTCTGATTACATTTAATGCCTACTTTTTTATTTTAAAAGAGATCATAACTGCCTGCCTCCTAACTCAGAGGTCCAACTGTTCAATCAAATAGACATCAACTAAAGTAAGTTCCAAGAAAACAATCTCATTACTGCAAAGAGAAACACTTGATCATTCTGGTCTGGGTTTACCCTCAAATTACCAAGTAACCCCGGTCCCTTTCCAAGAGAGGAAGAGAATTGCCTCTGCTGTAATATGACCCCTTCTTGATTTTACAGCTCATAGTAAATTTCTCTCACAATGAATGGCCAATGACTCTCTACTTACACAAAAAGATCCTAAAATAACTGCAAATGTAAACTTGACCATTAGTCAAAACCTGTATATTATTATTTGTACACAGCCTTAAAAAAATTACTTTGGAGCTTAAAGAAATGGGCTCAGGGAAGGGTAAGGACTTTCCAATTTTTAAAAACCAGAATATTTTCCCAAGGTTTTTAATGTTCATATCTTTGGATGCGTTGCTTTTAAAATAGAAATGTACGGGGAAATTCAGTCTGATAAGATACTATGGAGAATGCACTAAGGGTCTTATAATCTATTTCCTATGACTATAGTTCATCGGATTTTCAATCCTTTATAAATTATGGCTAACCCAGCCACTAATAATCTGTTTTCCCTCCTTTCTACATGTGATATTCATAAATGCAATAACATCTTTGGTGTTCTCTGTTCCCTAATGAATACCAGTTAGTAAACACCTTAAAACATATTAATATTATGTTAGTACAAGAAAACTATAAATTAGTAAGCTATTTTAACACTTGAAAATTTATAGAAGCAAGCTTAAAATCACATTCCCCTCACTTGTCAGAAAGGAATTCAGTTCCAAAGACGAGGGCAGGAAAAAGAGTGACCACTCTGATCCCTTAGTGTGAAATTTCATAAATCTGTAAGATTGGAAGATAAATGCTTAATTTACAAAACAAATATAAAGAGCAAGCCTTGCAGAGTTAAAAAAAAAATCTCAAATGCATTTCATTTATAAGTAACTATAATCCTTAACTGTAATAATTATCAACATTTTTACGTTTAATAATCAATAAACTTCACCAGCAACACAGTGATACATGACTCAAATTTGCAATGCAATAGTAAAATTTGTATTAAAATAAAACAAGAGGATAATCTAACCCATTTTGCCCAGCAATAGAAAATAAATTTGGTATGATAAAAATAACGGAAAAATGAATATGAGTAATGAGAATTACTAAATGAGTAATCTAAATACATTATATTTTAAGACACTCTCTTCACCCTAAGAAAAGTCACATTTTGAAGAAAACTACGGTATGTAATCCAGGATGCTGGCTATTGCCTGGACACTGATAATGCTAAAGGCACAGATATTTAAGTTGTTTATGTGTTAGGAAAAAAATAAAAAAAAACAGGAAAAGACCTGCCAACCACTACACAAGCTTCTAACGTGTGCACACGAACAGAAAATATTCCATTAATTGGACACTCTTTCCCCAAGTGATTAATAGTTACAGCTGTGCTTACGGCAAACTAAATTTCACATACTAATGATTCAGAACCCAATTTTTCTTATTCAGCTCTAATCCCTAGAGAAATGATACTAGTTTACCATTCAGTCAATTTCAGAGGCAGCTCTGTGAGCTAAGGAGTGGCACCGCATACAGCATACCAAAGGGAAGCTTGAGTGAGACAGGGAACAGCCCATTAATTTTAAACCGTAGTCTCTGCAACTGTGCAGAGCACTGTTACCTGTTACAGAGAAGAAACACTAAGCTGTAAGAGCTGAATTTGAGCTCATCTTTAAAATTGCCGTTTTTCAAAGCTGGTTTCCTTTTTCAACCAGTGGGGTTCTCCACTCTTGTCTGCCTCTCTTTGTCATAACTTCTGGTTTTTTATATCCACATCTTGTGCTTCTCCTTTCAGCCTTTTACCTTCTGATCAGGGATGCCCCTCTGATTTCATCCATTCTGTCCACTTTCTACGATCCTTTCTGTTGGGGAATCCATACTTTTAAAAATCCAATTGTAAAATTTCTCTCTTTACTGACTCTTTAGTTTTAATTTTATTTTTAAAAGACAAAAAAAAGTTTAAACTAAACTTTTAAATAACCCCACAGTCTCGCTCACAGCAAGCTTTCTTCTGCTAAAATTAACACATATATGGTAAGATTAATATAAACTGTTTCGTATATATGTAGGAAATATTGGGACATTTAAGAATTTGATGTTTCAAAAAACCATACAATTCTTTTAAAAAATAATCATGAATGCCAAGCAGCTGGAGTTCTTCACAGTGATGATCAACTACAGCTGTGGACTTCTTTAAACTTCTGTCTATGAAGACAGATGTTAGGTGCAGTGGTAAACACGCCACCTCACTCAGCCTCCAGTGTGTAGCAGACTCAGGACTCAGCTGATCCACATTTGCAGCCAGTAGTTTTCATGCTCAATAAGAGACCCACAGTTTCACTAAGGATTCAGGCTACAATCTGACATAAACAATTGTCCCAAGTATATCTAGAAATGCAAATTTTGCAGAGAGTTGAAAGTCAGTTTCCATGGTGAGAGAGAAATAAATCTTGAATTACTATAAAAGCGACACTTTTAACAAACAGGAAAAACACATCCTTGTGTGTAAACTGAGATACCTGTTACAAACTTCCAGTAAAGATTCTATCTCAGCCTCAACTAGCGTGTTTCCAGAACATTTTTGGTGCTACCTTTGAGCTAACCTTGTTCCCTTCAAGGCTATTCAGATACTAAGCTGTACTTCAGGCACACAGATGGAAAGCAGTTTGAGCTCTTTAAGAGAAACTCCTCCCCTATTCCCATCCAGCACTACAACATTATGTCTTTCTAAAACTGGAGGGGTAGCCTGTTTTCTCTCTTTCTGTCTATATAATATATCACAAACAGGGAGCAGACATAGGGTGACAGAATTGTGTGTTCCCAGGAAAGCTTGTGGGGAAAAAAAAAAGAAAAGAAGTAAGATTACAGGTAAGAATAATATTTTGCTTTCTATATAAAAATAAAAATTTTGAAAAACTCAATGTCACATGCTGAAATCAACATTCCAGGTAAAGCCAGGTGAGGTGCTGGGCATAGGCATTCAGAGGGCAGCCGGCATCTCTCTGATGACTGGGAATTAAAGAATGGTTGGCGCGGGCATCCCCGAATAAATGCAAAATGCTCTCCTCTATGTCTGGATTCAGCAGAACCTGGTCTAGCCCCAGGGGTCTCCTACTGGGACGCTCGAAAGACAAGACTAGTAAGCAAAAGCAGTCAATAATACAGACGGATACTTTCACAGCAGCATTTAAAAGAAATAGATATATAAAAATATATTTGCCTGCATAGACCTACAAATAGAGGTTACTCACAGAGATTACTGTAGCTCCAGCAGTTACCCATTGATCATAGAAAATGCCCAGTTCATCAGTTTAACGCTTGAGAAAAGTTAGCTTAAAAAGAAGCAAGCTAATTCAAAATATGCTGTTCTAGTCAACTGGAAGCAAATTAGTTTCAGATTTCCTGGCAGCCCCTTTTGCCCTGCACTGCACACGGTGATGGAAATGGAAGCACTTTGAGCACTTGGAACCCGAGCCGAGAGGAGCTGCTGCCTCAGTCCCTCTCACAAAGGCGGAAGCAGCCTGTTCTCCCGTTTGCTCTCCCTGTCTGCCTCTGCCGCTCTCTACCTTGGTAGCTTACCGAAAACAGCCACCGTAGGGCGTTTTTATATTTGTGAAAACTACTTCCAAGGAGATAATTGAGATGACGGGAGTTAGCTTTAATGTAACCATGTCCCCCAGTGCAGCAGCAGGAAGCCCAGCAAAGGCTTGGAGAGGATTGTACCATCCTGGGTGACATCAGAGGTGGGGCTGTCATCTTAGTATTATGCAGCATTTTCTCTGATGCAAGAATGACACATGGGAAAGAGATGGGTAGGTTCTCTTTAAAAGGGTTTAATTCTTGTATTATTTTAACGGACAAGGGAAATGCAAACACATTGTTTAAAAGCTGCCACAGAATGACACAAATCCTGCTTTGCCAGTCCTTATCTCACTGCTTAGTGATGCTACCATTTAAAGTCATTTTAGTGACGATTGTATCTTGTTCCTGTGATTAAATTAATATTTAATGGGTGATTGCTGTTACTTGGAAATGTGACATGAGAAGACTCAAAACCAGTAACATCCATTTTTAAATATGAAGCCATAAACTTTTATATCACTTACAGTACCTTGTATGTATACAATGTCTTTCAACACAGTCTCAGTATAAAAGCACCAAATGTAAAAACTAATAGGTTTATACATGAGAAAAGTGAAGTGAGGTGGAAAGTAGCAGAAGATGAGTAAGATATTGTAATATTATTGATACTTAATAGTGATAATGGCTATTAATACAAATATTAAAAATAACATGAAGATTCCAATCTTCTGTAACCCTAATATTTCCAACCAGTATGAGGATGCATGGGCTGACAATACAAACCACTTCACAGTTGCTTTTATTCATTCCATATACATTTACTGAGTGCCAAACAGGGTGCTGAAAAATGTGTTCAGTTTAATTTGGAGAACGTTTCTGATAAGTAATAATATAAGCAGGATAGAAAGTATTTACTTATGTGCCAGGCACTATACTAAGCAGTTTTATTGTATTAATTCATCTATTTCTACCAGCAGCCCTGTGGGATGGCTACTATGATTAACCCATTTTATAGATGAAACTACTAAAACTCAAGAGAGGTGTGTGACTTGTCCAAGATCACACGGCTAACGCTGGCACAACCACGATTCAAACACAGGCAATGTGCCTCTAAAGTCCACCCTCCCTACCCCTAAGCTAAAGTGCCTCCAGGGGGATTCCTTGCCAAGTAAAAGAAGTCTAAAGAAAGAATATAATTTTCAGGATTCAGAACCATCGCAAGCCAAAAATATCCACCTCTCAAGAAGCCTGGCCCAAATATAAGAGGATATAGATGAGAGTGTGCACCTAGAGACAGCACCAGGGTAGTGGAAATACACCCAGAAACAGAAGCTCAGTGCCGACTACCGGCATGACCTTGGGCCAATGCCTTAAAACTTTCCAGCTTTAGCTTCCTTATCTCTGAGCTAGAGATGTTTAAATTACAGATCAGTATAACCACGTGGTTAAAGCAAACAATCTCGGCTATTAATCTGGATTCCGTCACTTTCCAATTATGTTACCTTGAGCAAGTTATTTAACCTCTGTGAGCCTCAATTTCCATCTGAAAAAAAAAAACGGGAATAATAATGGGGTTTTCTGAGGACTAAATGAACTGTACATAGAAATACATAAAGCACTCAGAGTAGCAACCAGTATAGAATAAAAGCTCAAGGTTTTATTACTGATACTATAATCACTATGACTTTTAGTAGAATTACATTTTTTATAAAACTACCCACTTCTTCCCTTTTCAAAATCCTCTCAAAGAAGAGCTATTTTTTGAGTTGGTTTCAACAGCAGAAAGGACAACCTTTGCTGGCTTCATACAAGCACTAACCAGTCCGTGAATCACCAATTCCCTATGAGATGTAAGCTGGATTTGTTGGGCAAGCCTTCTAAGACCGCTCCTTCCAAGGGGAGGAAAGAGTGGTAAGCGCCCTTTTGTTCTCCCTCTTCCTTATGCCTGGAATTCAGAAGATGGAGCTGGAAGTGAAGCAGCCCTGAGGAATTGTGAGCATCCCATAAGCTAGCGGGGCAAAGCTGAAAGCACCCCTTACCCACCACAGACCTCCCACCCCCACCCACCATCTTCACATGGGGGAGAAATTTACACGGGTCAGGTTACTGAATTCAAGTTTTCCAAATGTCTATAGCATATCGCATTAGGCTTTAGTTAACACTTACTTTGACTAACCCCCTAAAACACCATTTCAAAACGTAAAGCTCAGAAATAAATTACTTACATGTTCTCTAGTCTTTTACAGCACCATCTCTTAAAAACATGCACAAAAACAGCACCTGCTTAGCAGTGCCATCTTCAACTCCTCAATTGTTTTGTTTTGTTTGTATTGATTATATTCTCTTATTATCTGTGTTCTTGATACTCCCGTATTTGGGGCCTTGACTGTGGAGAGACTGTTCCTCCCTGGGCTGGCTAATTCCTAGAGACAGAAAACACCCCTGTGCGAGCGTGCCTGTGATATACAAACCAACCAATCCAGAGCCACAGCAGGTAATATTCCCCCATCCTAAATCACCCAGGCCCAGGTCCTGGACAACTGGGGGCCATCCCTATAGCCCAAAGCCTGCCAAAATTATTCAAACTAGCCAATCTTAAACTTACCCAGCTTGGCTACCCTGTCTTGCCCGTTCCCTTCTGAAAAAACAAACAAACAAACAAACAATAAAGGCTCTGGGCCATGCTCCCCCATCTCCCATCTCCGGCTCCCATCCCAACCTGGTGTTTCCCTGTGATCCCGTGCAATGTACTGAGCCTCCTGTGTCTAAGGATCTGTAAGCATAAACCTCTTTCATAACAGTCATTTCCATGTCTGGATGTCTCCCCATACCTGAATTTTTAAAAACCCCATGTACAAATTTTAGAACAAAATTTTGGGAGGAACAAATGATTACTCACTAATTATCAGGAACAAAATTTCAAATGCACAATGTATTTCCAGACTCGAAAGTCACTAGTGCTTTCCAAAGTTTAGTTTGGAAATGACAAACTATAGGTAATAAATTTTTATTTGATATAATGTGTTATTTCTAAAAAATTTCAAATAAAGTAATATAAACAGGCAAGCAAGCTATTATTGCCCAACCTGATATAAGATTTTTAGAAATACAACTTTTTCACAAATCAAGACTGACTGCATGATATCGAGTTTTATTATCATAACATCCTCTGTTTTATTGTTACCTTTTTTTAAAGCACGGGATCCACGTAGGAGACAATAAGATTACTGGAGGAACTGGTAACAATAATTCCTTATGTAAAGTAACTTTTCCTTCATTGAACAAGTTCCAGTAAACAAGAAATCAGTTTTCCTAGCTCAATTTAATACTTTTTCAGTCTGGTTCTTAGATCTTGAAAAAAAAATTCAATGCCAATTTAAGGCTTATAAAAATTGAGTTTTTGTATTTTAGTCTGTTGTCTCCATTACCAGGTACATCTAAATGTTCAAGCTTAATCTAGAGAGAAAATCAGAATTCCAAGAAGATATTATGTGAAATAAATCCAAGTGAGCCGAGAGGAGAGAGGTGAAAAGCCAAAACCTGTCAATAATGATAGTCACGCCAGAGCTCTGTACTCTAATACGCTGTTTTGAAAAGAAAACAAAACCTCAAAAGTGAAATTTAACTTATAAAGGGTATACATACGACCCTCCCGGTAAGCTCGTTGGGAAACATACAGTATAAAAGGTTTGTATGCTGGAAACATTACATGTAATAAAGAGGTAATTACAAGTCACCTGCAAACCTCTATAATTGTCCTAGAGCTACTTCACAGATGAACAAAGTAGCTAAGCTCATTGTCTTGAGTTACTGAGTGTGATCCCTCTCAGCACAGAAGTGATGTGTGTTCCCTGTGCTGCAAACTGCACTGGGGGTAAGGGTGGGGGAGGGGGAACAAAGAGAAAAGGGGTCGAGTGGCAGAAAGTCACAATGAACATTTTGAGATTCCTGTCTTCCAGGGACCAAGCAAGATGCTTTTCACCTCTCAGGCCTCCCCTGTCACTTTCTAAGAAACTCTCTACCAGTTTCTGTGTCCTAACCCAGCCTGTGATAGAAAGGAAAGATCAAAAAAGAGCAGGAAGCAGATCTCACAGCAGGTCTCTGTCAGTCCCTGTTAACCCAGAGCTTACTATGGATAATGCTTGCTACATCACACACACCCAATTAATTGTTTCATTTAATCCTTAAAAACCTCCCTACCAGGTAGATATCAGGTATACCTAAATATAAGGCAACTCTAAGTAACTGTTAGGTACTCTATAAATTCCAATGGGGCAAAAAGTTATTGGCCATATTGAATATTTAAATTTTTAGGATGGATGAAATAATCAAATGGCTCCTTATAATATTTTATTATGTTAATTTGCATATATAAAATCACATAATACATTAAAACAATAAATAAATGCGTTTTCGTTCGCTTCCACTTCAGGAAATGATTTTGTTCAAGATTTTCATGTGTAATTTGTCATAAGGATCTTTGCTACGACTACAGTCTCCTTATCTTGCATCTTCAGTTCTAAGTTATTTGAGATACAGCAATTTTTTAAATGTGTGATGGAAGTTCTATCCTAACCTACAGTATCCATTCACTAGCAGTGATCTGAACATCACTTACTGCATGTATGACCTAGAAAAGTCATCTTTAAGAAGCTGGTTTATCCAACATCCAACACCTGCACCTCCGAGAGCACTTCCCCAGAAAGAATTACTAAATGTGTGTTCAACTTGTTTTCTCCCTCTTTTTACCCTGTTTTAGTGATCTCCATAAGCATTCCAAACTGACATTATCTATAGTTATTTCAAGCTCATATGTTTTCTCCAAAGAATTCTTTGTTAATCAAAATAATCAAAAGAGGATCCCTAATACAGAACACTTTAAGAACTTAATGTAAGACCACTCCCTCTCTTCTGGTATCTTTTTGAGAAAAACATCCTCACCCTAACTTTGGGATATATTGAGTATTCATTCCTTTTTACAAAAGAAGAATATAGAGAAAGTTTAGGCAACCTGAAGCATATAGAGGAAGTTAACCCAACACACAGTTAAAAGAATAAGAAGCAACCCTCAGACCAAAGTTTACAAAAGGGGCATTTAGTTGGCAGCCCACATGTGAACATAAAGAAGAGCCGAAGAGAACAAAGTCACTCTTTTACATTATTTGCACTTTTTTTCTAGCACAGTTGGAGAATTTTAATCTTTCTTTCCCTATTGTTTGCTGTCACTTACTTACAATCACACACACACACACACAAACTTTATTTTCTATTAATATAAACCATATAAACTTTTTTTTTTTTTTGAGACAGAGTCTCGCTCTGTTGCCCAGGCTGGAGTGCAGTGGTGCTATCTTGGCTCAATGCAAGCTCTGCCTCCTGGGTTCATGCCATTCTCCTGCCTCAGCCTCCCGAGTAGCTGGGACTACAGGCGCCCGCCACCACACCCAGCTAATTTTTTGTATTTTTAGTAAAGACGGAGTTTCACCATGTTAGCCAGGATGGTCTCGATCTCCTGACCTCATGATCTGCCTGCCTCAGCCTCCCAAAGTGCTGGGATTACAGGCGTGAGCCACCGCACCTGGCCATAAACATTTTTAATGAACACACGATGTATCATCAGTAATACAATTTAGTCATTGTTGAGTAGTCTGGGTATTTCCAGTTATTTCCAATATTATCCTAATTTTCTTTTTTTTTTTTTTTTGAGACAGGGCCTCACTCTGTCATCCAGGCTGGAGTGCCGTGGCGTCATCTTGGCTCACTGCAATCTCTGCCTCTCAGGTTCAAGCGATTCTCACACCTCAGCCTCCCAAGTAGCTGGGATTACAGGCATATACCACCACGTATGGCTAACTTTTGTATTTTTAGTAGAGACGAGTTTTCACCATGTTGGCCAGGCTGGTCTCAAACTTCCGGCCTCAAATAATCCATCCACTTCAGCCTCCCACAGTGCTGGGATTACAGATGTGAGCAACCGTGCCCAGCCCCTAAGTAAATTCTTATACTGACAACTGGATAATATGATTCAGAATGTAATCAAAATATTAGTGCAACTGATGCAAATGAAATAAATGTCCAAGAAGTCAGTGATATGTATCTGTTTTGTGCACTATTGTATCCCCATGTCACTGAGAACCCCAGAAAGTACCAGCATCAAATTGCAAGGTCAAGATGGCATAAAACACGGTTGCATGTACTGGGCAAGAAGCACTTTGATGGTGAGCTGAGAAACTGCTTTCGCCATGTACTGAGCCTGGGATGGAATCAGAATCACAGGGTGCGGGGTCAGCATGGGAGCAGGAAGCAAACAGAGGGATGGGCTTAAGGGGCTGACCTGAGGGGGTTTATATAATATACCTCCAAAGAAAAAGCAAGAGCAAGTTCTGGGAGTAACTGAATCTCCCTAAAAGTAGAAAAGTCACTAAGCATCCAAATGGCATCTAAGTGGGCAACAGGAACCAGCCAGAAGGGCTCGATAAACTGTACTTATCGAGTTGATTTCCAGCTAGCCTTTGGTTAAATTAGGTTTGTAACTCTAAGCCGTTTCTTTTTATTTATTTTTTCTTTCTTTCAGTATAAGATTTTCTTCAAACAGTCTAGTTTCGTCTCAAGTATCAAGTAAAGTGAAATGTATCATTCCACCTCTCTGTAGGGATGAATGAGGGTATCGGTGGGCTAGAGGGCAGGGAAGCAGGATCGGAACTCCAGGCCCAGGCCCAGGAGCAGAGCACATCCATGTGCTAGAGGGCAGGGAAGCAGGATCAGAACTCCAGGCCCAGGCCCAGGAGCAGAGCACAGTCTGGCCAACTAAAGGAAAGGCAGGGTAAAGGATTTCTTTTAGAATCCCTCTCTCTCACTGGCTCACAGGCAACATGCTCTCCCAGCTGCGGTTCTGCCACGGCTGCCATTCTGCTCCATTTCCTTGGCCTGTTGTACTTCTCCCACTCCCCTTTAGTGATAGGTGAAGGCCCAGGGATTAGTTTTTCACCCGCTGTTCTTCTTATTTCACATTCTCTGCCTTTCAAAATGCAAGAGCTTGGAAGCAATATCTATCATCCAATCAACACACCGGTGCGGTGGCAAATGTACCCTAAGTCAGTCAATATATATAAATTGCTTAAAACAGTGCCCAGCACATAGGAAATATTCAGTAAGAATTAGCTGTTATTACTACCAGTGCTGGGAACCAGCCTTTGCTACATTACCATGTGATTTGGGCCAGTAATTCTGCCTTTCTTTTCCAGCCTTTTGTACTCACTACAAAGTACATTTGTACTCCCAGGCTTTTGTACAATTAATTTTGAACCTAATTCAAACAATCACTGTAGGCAAACAAGATGCTTACTTCACGGGTTTTTGTAAGATTAAAATGACAGAAGTCACATGAAGCGGCACATGAAAACCTCAAAATGACTAAATATAAGGCTCTACATCAATAATTCCATAGCTCTATGATGATAATTTCAGGTGTCCAGACCTGACATCTCCCCTAGGCTTCAGGCTACCTCACAGTTCCGTTGTGTGAGAAGGAATCACCAAATAGAAACTATTACACAGGAAAAGCAAAAGATGTCAGTAATTTAGTCCATTCAGAAGCAACTATGTCAATCAGCCAGAACAGACATCTGAGGCAGGAGTCTAAACTTGAACTGGGTAACAGAACAAGGAGAGATGAAAGCAAGATAACTGTAGATGAGATTGTATTCTTTTAACCCCAAGAATAAAGAAAGGCAAATACAAAAGAAATCTTACCAAGCAGAATTAACCATCTCAAAGCTACATTCGCATCTGTCTTGACAATCGGAACTCCCACCCTATGATAATAACGTAATGAGAAAAAAATACAAAGTAAACCATAACCAGGAGAAGCTCACACATGGTCTAGTTAGCTCACTTTGCGGGAAGGTCTGAGGAGACATCCGGAAGGGACAAGTATCTCATGTTTTGAATGAAAGGGAAGGATCTGAGTTTTGTATGAAGTGTTAAAGCTCTCAAGAGAGATTTTGGGTACTCTGTCCTGTGCATCTCTCACAGACAGTGGTCAAGTCATTGCCAGTGACAGGCCATGCTGTTACATATCTACATTATCTCAGAAGGCCACCCCACCCTTTGAAAGACACCAACGGAAAACAGGAATCCTGCACTGAGGACAGAGTCTCACTTTCCTGAGATCCTGTATGTGCTCTTGGCAATCAAGGAAGCCTGCTCTCTGAACTGTGTGCCCCCTGCACCTATCATCCCCTGGAAAGTTGGGCATATCCAGAGAAGCAGAATACAGCAAAGAGTCAACAATTCCCAACTGTCTGGCAGATGCCCCATGTCACACATTTAACATGTCAAAACCAAAGTGATTGCCTTCCCTGAAAAACTAGCTCATGGTGGAGAATTCCTATTTCAGATGCATCATTAACATCTCCTGTCACTTTACTGCCAAACTTCAGAGTCATCATATCTCCCCCTATCTACAGTCACCAAGACTATCATGACTTTCTGAAAGTCTCATGCATTTACGCATTTATATTCCTATCAGCATCTCTTGTCTACAGTGCATACAATTCGTTTTGGAATTAAATGCCAACCCTAACAAGTCTCCCTCCTCAACACTGGTTCATATCTTCCAATCCACTCTAAGCAAGTTTGCTAGATTAATTTTCCTATAGCACTTTTCCTTTTTTAATTTCTGACAAAAGCACAAAAGAAACCTGTGTGTTGGGGGTTTTTATTATTACTCTCAGTTTACAGATAGTAACTGCACATATTTATAAGATACAGTGTATTTCCACACACATATATGATGTGATATGATCAAAGAACAGTAATTAGCATATCTAACACCTTAAACATTTATCATTTCTTTGTGTTGAAAACATTAAAAGTCCACTCTTTCGGCTATTTGAAAATATACAATAAATGTTTGTAAATTATACTCACCCAGTCCTGCTATAGAATACTAGAACTTATTCATCCTAGCTAGCTGTACCTTTGTATCCTGTATCCGTTAACTAACCTTTGGCTATACCTACTCCCCTTCCCCTCCACACTTCCCTGCCTCTAGTAACCACTATTCTACTCTACTTCTATGAGATCAACTTTTTTAGCTTCCACATATGGGTGAGAACATGCGGTATTTATCTTTTTATGCCTGGCTTATTTTACTTAACATAATGTCCCCAAGCTAACTCATCCATGTTGCCATGAATAACAGAATTTCATTCTTTGTTACTGCAAAAGAGTATTCTATTGTGTGTATATACCACATTTTCTTTATGCTTTCATCTGCTGATGGACACATAGGTAGATTCCCCTTCTTGGTTATTGTGAATAGTATTGCAATAAACATGGGAGTGCAGATAGATCTTCAACATACTGATTTCCTTTTTTCTGGATATATACCAAGTGGTAGGATTGCTGCATAATATGAGAGCTCTATTTTTAGTTTTTGAGCAACTTCCATACTGTTTTTCCTTAGTGGCTATACTTTTATTTTATTTTTGAGACAGGGTCTCGCTCTGTCGTTCAGGCTGCAGTGCACTGGTGCAATCTTGGCTTGCTGCAGCCTTGACCCCCTGGGATCAAGTGATTCTCCCACCTCAGCCTCCCAAGTAGCAGGGACTACAGGCACACACCACCACCTCAGCTAATTTTTGTATTTTTTGTAGAGATGAGGTTTCACCAGATTGCCCAGGCTGGTCTTGAACTCCTGAGCTCAAGCCATCTGCCCACCTCGGCCTCCCAAAGTGTTGGAATTACAGGCGTGCACCACCATGCCTGGCCTCCTTAATGGGTTTACTAATTTACATTCCCACCTACAATGTGTAAGAGTTTCCCTTTTCTCTTAATCCCACTAGCATTTTTTTATGTTTTGTCTTTTTTTGTTTTGTTTTGTTTTGAGACAGAGTTTTGCTCTTGTTGCCCAGGCTGGAGTGCAATGGCATGATCTCGGCTCACCACAACCTCCGCCTCCCAGGTTCAAGCAATTCTCCTACCTCAGCCTCCCGAGTAGCTGGGATTACAGGCATGCACCACCATGCTCGGCTAATTTTGTATTTTTAGTAGAGACAGGGTTTCTCCATGTTGAGGCTGGTCTCGAACTCCTGACCTCAGGTGATCCGCCCACCTGAGCCTCCCAAAGTGCTGGGATTACAGGCGTGAGCCACCGTGCCCGGCCTATGTTTTGTCTTTTTGATAACAGCCATTCTAGCTAGGTTGATATAATATCTCATTATGGTTTTGATTTGCATTTCCCTGATGTTCAGTATTTTTTCATATACCTGTTGGCCATCTATATGTCTTCTTTTGAGACGTGATGTGTCTGCTTATTGAAGAGACTGTCCTTTTCCCAGTGAATGTTCTTGGTGCCTTTGTTGAAAATGAGTCGGCTATAAAGATGAGATTTATTTTTCTGGGTTCTATATTCTGTTCCATTGGTCTGTGTATCTGTTTTTATGACAGTACTATGCTATTTGGTTACTATGGTTTTGCAGTATATTTTGGAGTCCGGTAGTGTGATGTCTCAAGCTTTGTTCTTCTTGCTTTGGCTATCCAGGGTATTGTGTGGTTCTAGGCAAATTTTAGGACTGTTTTTTCTATTTCTGTGATGAATGACACTGGTACTTTGATAGGGAATGCACTGAATGAGTATACTGCTTTTTGTAGTATGGCCATTTTTACCATATTAATTCTCCCAATTCATGAAAATGCAATGTGTTTTTATTTTTGCATATGCCTGCTGCAATTTCTTACATCAGTGTTTTATAGTTTTCCTTGCAGAGACATTTCATTTCCTTGGTTAAATTTTTCCCTAGGTATTTTACTTTTTGTAGCTACTGTACCTGCAATTGCTTTCTTACTTTCTTTTTCTGCTATTTGAATGTTGGTATATAGAAACACCACTGATTTTTCTAAGTTGATTTTGTATCCTGCAACTTTACTGAATTAGACGGTCAGTTCAGAGGTTTTTATTTTTTGAAGCTTTCATAGTTTTATTTATATAAGATCATTTATCTGGCTAAAACTTCTAGTACTCCTGAAAAAAAATGGAGAAAGTGGTCATTCTTGTCTTGTTCCAGAGCTAGAGGAAAAGTTTGCAGCTTTCCCCAGTTCAGTATAATGTTGGCTATGGTTTTCTCATATACGGCTTTGACTGTGTCGAGGTATGTTCCTTCTTACCTAACTTGCTGAGAGTTTGATTAAAGTGCAGTTTAAATCCAATGTTGCTTTGTTTGTTTTCTGTATAGATGATCTATCTGATGCTTAGAGGGGTGTTTAAGTGCCCAACTATTACTGTCCTGTTTAAGTGCAATTTAAATCTAATAATATTTGCTTTGATTACCTGGGTGCTCCAGTATTAGGTACATATACGTTTATAAGTGTTATATCTGCTTGCTGAATTGATCCTGTTATCACTGTATAATGACCTTCTTTGTCTCTTTTTACATGAGTTTACTTAAAGTCTGTTTTATCTGATATAGGAATGACTACATTTGCTTGCTTTTGGGTTCTGTTTGCATGGAATGTCTTTTTCCATACTTTCACATTCAGTCTACAGTTGACCTTTGAATAAGATGGGATTTAGGGGCACTGAGCACCACCACCATGCAGTTGAAAATCCACATAACTTTTGACTCTCCAAAAACTTAGCTACTAACATATTAGCCTACTATTGACTAGAAGTCTTACTGATAATATAAATAGGGAATGGACACATATTTTGCATGTTGTATGTATTATATACTTTATTTTTATAATAAACTAGAGAAAAGAAAATGTTACTAAGAAAATGATGAAGAAGAGAAAATATATTTACTATTCATTAAGTGGAAATGAATCATCATAAAGGTCTTCATCCTCAATTTCTCATTGAATAAGCTGAAGAGGAGGAGAAAGGAGTTGTCCTCATCTCAAGGATGGGAGAGGCAGAAAAGGTAGAGGAAGAAGAACAGGAAGCAAGAGAGGCAGGCACATTCAGTGTAAATGTACAGACATAATCATAGTTTCTGTCTTTTTAACTTTTTCATTTCTCCAAAAATGTTTCTTCTATACAGTACCAATCCTTCTTCCACTGTTTGCTTTAGTTTCAGTGCCCATATGATAGAAGGGTCAACATCATAAAAGAAGTCAAAAACAGTCTGGAATCATGGGAACCATTCTGCCAGATTATCTCATGTCAATTTGTTTTCTAGAACTGCTTCTTCCACGTCTTTTTCCTCATCATCTGGCACTAATTTTGAAGCACTCATCTCCAGCAATTCATCTTCTGTTAACTTCTCTGGTGTGATACCTATTTGCTCTTGAATTTCTCTGATATCTACATCTTGAAATCCTTCCTCACCACCCCTCATACCTTTTTTCCCATATCTACAATATCTTGTCATGATTTTCTTGATTGGCTCAAATGTAAATCCTGTGAAGTCCTGCACAACATCTGGATAAAGTTTTCTCCAGCAAGAACTTATTGTTTCAGATTTCAAGGCTTTCACAGCTTTTCCTTTAACAATGGAATCTTCAACGATGCAATCTTCCAGACTTTCATGATGTTCTGTCAGGGTTCTCTTCCATAGCACTAACAATTCTTTCCATAAAACACTGTGTGTAGTGAGCCTTAATGGTCCTTATGACCCCCTGATGTAGAAGCTGAATTAGAGATACTGTGTTTGGGGGCAAGCAGATGACTTCGATGTCTTCACTGTTGAACTCATAGAGTTCTGGGTGGCTAAGGGTATTGTCCTATATCAAAAGAACTTTAAAAGGCAGTCCCTTACTGGCAAGGTACTTCCTGAACTTAGGGACAAAGCACTGATGGAACCAATCCAGCAGAAGAGTTCTTGTTGTTCAGGTCTTCTTGTTATATAACCCAAAGATTGGTATCTGTGTTTATCTTTTCTATTCAAGGCTCAGGGGTTAGAAATTTATAGACAAGGGCATTCCTCATCATAAATCCAACTGTATTTGCATAAAACAATACAGTTGGCCTATCCCTTCCTGCCTTAAATCCTCGTACTCACTTCCCTTCCTTACTAATAAATGTCCTTTGTGGAACTGTTTTCCAGAAAGGGGGCACTTTTTTTCTACAAGAAAAAAAAGAAAGAAACCTGCCAGGCAGATATCCATTCTTCTCAATGATTTTCTTAATGGTGTCTGGGAACTTGTCTACTGCTTCTTGGCTGTCTGCTGCTTCTCCTGTTATCTTGACATTTTTTAAGGCAAATCTCTTTCTAAAATTATCGAACCATCTTTTGCTGGCATTACATTCTCCAAGTTTAGATCTAACACCTTCCTTTTGCTTTAAGTTGTCATACACTAACCTCATTTTTTCTTAAATCATTGTAGAGTCTATAGGCATGATTTTCTTATAGGTATCCTGCATCCACATAACAGCTACATTTTCAATATAAAAAAGTTCAAGGTTTTGTGCCTACTGAGGGAGCTGCAGTGACAACAAATTTCCTTTTCTTTTCTTACAACGGTACTTACACTGCTGGATTCTTTTATCTTGAAATGGCAGGTGACCACAGCTGCAGACCTCAATCCATTTGGTACATATCAAGCAATTCACCCTTCTTATAACATCATGAATTTTCCCTGCTTCTTGGGAGCACTTCCAGCATCACTAGTGGTACTTTGTATGGGTTCCACGGTGTTATTAAGGTTTATAGTAGTGAACTAAACATGATGAAAAATACACAAAAACCATGAGAGACAACTCTTTTTTTTTTTTTTTTTTTTTTTGGGAGACAGGGTCTTGCTCTGTCACTCAAGCTGGAATGCAGTGACACAATCATAGCTCAAACTCCTGGGCTCAAGACATCCTGACACCTCAGCCTCCCAAGTAGCTGAGACTACAGGTGTGCACCAACATGGAGATCACTTTTTAATACAACACATAATTTACTGGACAGATGAATGGTTCACATGGAGCTGTTAGCATCACACAGTGTTTTAAGCAGATACAACACTCAAGCTCATTGCAATAGCAACAACAGGTGGCTTCAACATTATTATATAGTACAGTATGTACTACAGTTAATTGTATGCAGTTATGATTTAATACTGCATCTTTATGTTTCTTTACATTTCTCGGGACTGCAAATGGCACCATGTACAGTCTGGTGTATATAAGTTTTGATAAACTTTAACTTTTTAAAGTAGATGTGTTTCTATTTCATGGTAATAAATGATTAAACTAGTATCTACATATATTTTATGAATTCATGTCACAACTCTTGTTCATTTTTCCAGTATTTCTAGTCTACATGGTTTGTCTGCAAGTTTTCTCAAATTGTTGCAAATCTCCCAAAAAATTAAACAACATATTTATTGTTTAAAATATTTGAATATAAGTGGACCTGTGCAGGTCAAAACCTGTGTTGTTAATAGTCAACAGGTAAAGTGAGTTTCTTGTAGGCAGCATAGAGCTGGGTCATGTTTTTTCATCCATTTAGCCAGTCTATATCTTTTAAGTGGAGAATTTAATCCATTGACATTCAAGGGTATTATTGATAGGCGAGAACACACTCTTGTTATTTTGTTAATTTGTTTTTGAAGTTGTTTGTATATCCTTTGTTCCTTTCTTCCTCCTTTCGTTCCTTTCTTCCTCTTTTTCTATCATTGCAGTTTGGTGGTTTTCTGTAGCCTAAGTCTTGATTCTTTCCTCTTTCTCCTTTGTGTATCTGCTCCACCAGTGAGTTTTATAATTTTGCCTGTTTTCATGATAGTGATTTTCATCTTTTCACTTCCAGATGCAGGACTCCCTTGAGCACTTTTTGTAAGGTTGGCCTAGTGGTAATGAATTCTCTCAGTTTTTGTTTGTCTGGGAAATACTTTATTTCTCCCTCATCTCTAAAGGATAGCTTTGCTGGGCATAGTATTCCTGGCTGGCAGTATTTCTCTTTCAGCTCTTTGACTATGTATCAGCCCATTCTCTCCTAGCCTGTAAGGTTTCTGCAGAGAAATGTGCTATTAGTCTAATGGAGAGTCCCTTAGATGTGATTTGACTCTCCTCTTTTTCTGTTTTTAGAATTTCCTCTTTGTCCTTGACTTGTGTCAATTTGACATAAATGTGCCTCAGGCAAAAAAGAAAAAAGAAAAAAAAAGACCTTTTTGGGTGGAATTTATTTGGAGACTTTTGAGATTCCTGGCTCTAGATGTCCATATCTCTCCCCAAACTTGGGAAGTTTTCAGTTATTATTTCATTAAATATGCTTTCTATGCTTTTTTCTTTCTGTTTTCCTTCTGCAAATCCCATAACACAAATATTTATTTACTTAATGGTGTCCCACAAGTCTTATAGGCTTTCTTCACTTCAGAGATTCTTACGCTTGATCAAGTCTTCTATTGAAGGTCTCTGCTGTATTTTTTTATTTCACTGATTGAATTCTTCAAATACAGGATTTTTATTTAATTCTTTTTTATAATTTCTCTCTCTTTGCTGAATTTCTCATTCACATGGTGAATTGTTTTCCTGACTTCATTAAATTGTCTCTCTTTTCTGTTTTTCACTGAGTTACCATAAAATTATTACTTTGAATTCATATTCCACCAAGTCATTGAATTCTTTTTCACTGAGGTCTGTTATTACAGAGTTATTATGTTTCTTTAGTGGTGTCATATTTCCTTGCCTTTTCATGTCTTGTCTCCCTGTGTTGATGTCTGTGTGGCAGATATCTGTGTGTTGATGTCTGGTGGAACGGTAGCCTCTTCCAAACTTACTAGACTGGCTTTTGTACAGAAAGACTTTGACCTTCAGTAGGGTTTTACTGTGCTGGTTGGAAAGAATGTGGTAACTGTTTCCAGACAGGTGCAGTAGTAGAGTCTCTGTGCAGACTCTTCATCTGCATTCAATGTCAGCAATAACTGTGGGTGCCTCAGTGGCGTATGTTGTAGATGTTCGTGGCAGTGGTGACAGTGGCATAGGCTGCTAATGTCTTCAGTCCTCCTATTCTCATTTTCCACACAATGGGGAGACTTAGATGAGGGGATTTCTCTAGGTGTCAGGTCTGACATGGCCTACAAGTGGCTGTAACAGCACTGAGTTGCTTGGAGTGGCTGTGGGGCCAGGGTCCTAGGCTCAGAATCTTGTGAACCTCCTGTGGCACCTGCATCTTGGAGTGCGAACTTGCTGTCTGTGAAAGGATTGGATGTAAGTTGCCCCCGGAACCAGGATCTGTGACTCAGAGCTACTCCCTAGCAGCTCAGGCTCAGGGGGCCAGGTTGTAGCTGTGATTTTACTTTTAGGGTATACAGTGAAGCACTCACCCAACTCCAGGAAAGTGATACTCTGAAGGTTTAGGCTCAAGGTGCAAGGTATGACTGCGATTTGGGAACTTGACCCGAACGGCAACTCGGGTCCCAGGGAATGAGTCACCTTGTGGTAGTGACTCTAGACCCTGGGTTGGCAGTGATCGTCAGCATCTGAGCCTCTGTGAGGCCAGGTGCAGTGGCAGCAAGTACCTGGGAATGGCAAAGAATAGCTGTTTTTTGCAGCATGGTGGGGTGAAGAGTGTGGGGTCAGGAAATAGCACATTGATGATTCCATTCCTCAAGAACAGATGTGTCCCAACAGCTCAGACTCTAGGGCCTAGACCAGCTCCACGGAAGCAGGATACAAGAGCTGTTTGGTCTATAGGCCAGTGTGTCTCAGCTAAGCCACTGTTCTACTTCCCTGTTATATGGGGTGCTATGTCAGTTCAGCCCAGGGATGTGTAGCTACTTAGCTCAGCCAGGGCACTGATACCCCAGGGACCAATGTGCTCCTTCAGCTCAGGCCTGGGGGCCTTGACTGTTCTGGATGGCCCAGGCACAGTTTCCCTAGGATGCAGGCTGCTGCTTCAGCTTAGGTACTAGGATATAGGACCTTTCTGGGGGGCCAAGGCACCGTTTTGGGGACATGTGGCACCCTCCAACTTAGGCTGAGGGAAGGTGTGACTTCTCCGAGTAGCCAAAGTACTGTTTCCCCAGGAGAAAGGGCACCACTTCAGCTCAGCCCAAGAAGGCGGGGAGAGGGGTAGGTGATGTGGCTCTACTTCTGCCTGGGGAAGTGTATGATTCTGTTTTGCAGTGCTATAAAGGAACACCCGAAACTGAGTAATTTATAAAGAAAAGAGGTTTAGTTGGCTCACAGTTCTGCAGGCTGTACAGGAAGCATAGTGCCAGCATTTGCTTCTGGTCAGGACCTCAGGAAGCTTTTACTCATGGTACATGGCAAAGGGATAGCAGGCATGTCACAAGGTGAGAGAGGGAACAAGAGAGAGAGAAGGAGGTGCTAGGCTCTTTTAAACAACTAGGTCTTATATAAACTAACAGAGTGAGAACTACTCATTACCTCAGGGAGGCACCAAGCCACTCATGAGGGATCAACCTTATAGACCCCAGGATTGTACAGCCACTGCCAGTGTGCACTCTGAACTTCAGAAAAGCTGCAGGCATTGCACTCCAACCCAGGCTGTGCCCAAGAAAGCCATGAAGATGGGGCTGCCCAAGGCTTCAGCGGATCACCCTTTGTACCAGTGTACCCAGGATACAAGACATGGCGTCAAGGACTATGTTGGAACTTCAAGGTTTAATGTCTTCCCTGCTGGGTTTCAGACTTGTGTGGGGCCTACTACCCCTTTCTTTTGGCTGATCTCTCCCTTTTGAAATGGTAATGTGTACCCAATACCTGTACTACCATTGTATCTTGGAAGTAAATAACAAAACAAAATAAAAATTTTAAGTACATCTTCTGTAATTATGTTACAGCTGTAATTGTTTACTCAAGGTCAGCAAATTTTTTTCTGTAAAGGACCAGACAGTAAATACCTTAACCTTTCTGGGCCATAAGGTCTCTACATAAACACGCAACTTTGCCATTGCAACCAAAACAACCACAGACAATAGTAAATTAACATAAGACTGTTTTCCAATAAAATGTGATCTAGAAAGACAAGAGAGGAATAGGATTTAGCCCAAGGGCCATAGTTTGCCAATCTTTCCTTTAACTTGTTATTCAAGAACTTTTGCAATCTGGCTACTAACTCCCCACCTTATTTCCCTACTGCTATCTTGCTGGCACTGTGTATTAGGTTTTTCTTTTAAAATATAGCAAATACATACCATATTAAATTATAAGAAAGGTACTAGCTTTGCAAATTAAAAAACTGAGGCGAGAGTGTTTTAAGTAGCTTATAGCCAGGACTAGAAGCTGGATGAAGAATCCAAGCTGTTAACCATTACAAAAAGCTGCCTCTCCATTGGTCAACTCAGCATCCCCCCTAAGTTACATGATCACCTCTGCACTTTTGCTTATTAAATTATTTCCCCCTCTCTAATTTTGTCCTACTCATCTTTCATAACCTGAGCTCTCAATGAAGCTCTCCATGCCTCACCAACTCTCAGTGACTTCTCCTCTCCTTTTCTTCTTTTGTTTGAGACGGAGTCTTGCTCTGTTGCCCAGGCTGGAGTGCAGTGGCGCGATCTCAGCTCACTGTAACCTCCACCTCCCAGGTTCAAGCAATTCTCCTGTCTCAGCCACCTGAGTAGCTGGGACTACAGGTGCACACCACCATTCCCGGATAATTTTTGTATTTTTAATAGACGGGGTTTCACCATATTGGTCAGGCTGGTCTCGAACTCCTGACCTCAGGTGATCCACCCACCTCGGCCTCCCAAAGTGCTGGGATTATAGGCGTGAGCCACCACACCCGGCCTCTTCTTTTATTCTGAAAACATATATTGCCTATACTTTTCTATGCGTCCTTATATTTTCATAATTTCATACTGTCTTCCCTACTTACTTTTTATCTTACATTTTCTAGATCCTAAATACCTATCATAGTATTCTGAAGTCAAAAGGTATTCATTATTTTTTACTGGATGATATTAACATACAAATAATTCACGAATATAGGCCTAAAATAATTTTTACCACTCCCTATACTTACTAAGATTAAAGCAAGTGGTCTCTTTACAGTAAATATATCATTTTTCAAGATGAAAAAAGAAACAAAGTATAAATTGGTTCTTTGATCTTTCTAGAATGAGATACGCTTTGCAAAAACAATTATAACAATATATATTCAGTAACTGAACTACTTAGAAGAGATTATTTTATAGTAAACATCATATTAGTGTGATTGAACTAGGATAACAGTTGTATCTGAAAGACCGGCAAAAATATAATACACTGATTTTTCTGTTCTTTAAGTCTCAGAAAAGTGGTTTTCTTTGAGAAAGACATCCTTGAGAAAGCTACAGACCCTCTCCTGACAAAAAATATCAGATAAACATTTATACGAATTTTTCATCAAATATCTGGGTGCTCCAGATCCCCTAAAGTTAAGAAACCCTGCCTGAAAGGGTCTCATATTAGCTACTCACAGCTGTAACTCACCTAATAAATTTTCCTTTTAACACAAGACATTCAAAGAAATTTCAATGCACTAATAAGATGTGGCCGTGTTTTTAAAATTCATACCCAAATTAGAAGGTGTCGAAGATCATAAACATTGGAAATGGGGAAATTCATAGTTAGGAGCAAACGGGTGAGGGGAGAGCAGGAATATTACCAAAGACTTAAAGATTTCAATTTCATGTTACTACTTGCTAGGAAGGCTCTGATGGCCTGGTGATCCTGCCATGTATATGAGGGGCACAAACACAGGTTTTGTAGGGACAATATATATGATCTTATTGCTAAACTTCATACCTTCAAATCAGAAGTGGTAGTATCATATCCTAAAACAATAAATTGAACTAAGAAAAATTAGCATAAGAAAGTAATTGTAGTGTCTATTTAAAACTCAGATTTAGAAATAAAAACAAGTAAGTTCCAAATAAAAACAAATACAGTCATGCACCATATAAGAACATTTCAGTCAATGACTAACTGCATATACAAAAGATTATATACCTAATTATATACATACACGTAAGATTACAATGGAGGCAAAACACTCCCATTGCCTAGTGACATCGTGAAAATCCTGACCCTGGGTAGGTCCAGGCTAATGTGTGTTTCTGTGTCTTCATTTTCAACAGAAAGCTTAAAAAGAAAATATAAAAACTAAAACATTATTAAAAGCTTATAGAATAAGAAAATAAGGAAAATATTTTAGCATAGTTGTACAATGTATATGTATTTTAAGTATCATTACAAAATAGTCCAAAGGTTTTAAAAAGTTAAAAGTTTACAAAGTAAAATAGTTACAGTAATCTAAGGTTGTTACTGAAAGATAAATATTTTTTATAAATTTAGCGTAGCCTAAGTGTTGATTGTTCATAAAGTCTACAACAGTGGACAGTGATGTCCTAGGCCTTCATATTCACTCACCGATTCACTCAGAGCAACTTCCAGTCCCGTAAGCTCCAAGCATGGTAAATGCCCTATATGATGGTACAATTTTTTGTCTTTTCATTGTTTCATTTTATTTATTTTATTTTGTAGAGATGGGGGTCTCGCTGTGTTGCCCAGGCTGGTCTTTGAAATCCTGGCCTCCAGTGATCCTCCCACCTTAGCCTCCCAAAGTTCTCAGATTACAGGCATGAACCACTGCACCTGGCCTTTTATCTTTTCTATTGCATTTTTATTGTACCTTTTAAATGTTTAGATATGTTTTGACATACAAATACTTACCATTGTGTTACAACTGTCTACTGCATTAAGGCAGCAACATGTTGCACAGGATTAGAGCCTAGGAGCAATAAGCTATACCATATAGCCTAGGTGTGTCTCATATACCATATAATCTAGGTTTCTGCAAGTACACTCTGGTGTTCAAACAAGGGCGAAATCGCCTGATGACCTATTTCTCAGAACATATACCCATCATTAAGCAGCACATGACTGTACCAACAGAGTAACAACCCCGTGAATACAACAACAGACAAATAACAAACAGTAACATTAATGATACATAGTTGCCGCATTTCAATTTCCTTTCATTTAAACTTTTTTCAATAAGTTGAATTTATTAAATGTATTGCTAAGCTGGATTTAATTTTTATAATCTTTTGCACTCGGCACACAAGAATGACAGCAATATATCACAAAATTCTAAATTTTAAGTATGCAACGTGAAATGGTTAAAATCAAACTATCTGTAGAATATACATATATTGATGGATGTAGATAAACTGATGAATGCAGAATTGATAACAGGTAAATTAATATAGAATTTCAAAAATAGCCAAATGCCAATAAGATAACCAGATGTAGTTTCATCTCTGTTGGCAAAAGAAATATCTATAAATTTGTGCCTTTCAGAATGAATGATTGGTTCAACAATAGAGGCAAATTCTAAGGTGGAGTGGAGGCCCCCCAGAAAGAGGGCAGTCACCCAAATTAAGCAATTAAGTAAGACTTTTGGAAATATACACTTTAAATCACCATTTTTTGGATTAATATTTAAGGTCTTCCATGATCATATCTTAATTTACTTCTCCATCTTAGTCAATAATCTACTATCCTCCACAACATCCTGTACTCAGTCTCAGGTCTTTTTAGAACCAAATTCTCCCCATGCTTTCCATGTATTCAAATAATACTTACCTTTCAAGGCAAAGAACAAATGAGCATACCTGGAAAAAGCCTCTGATTACCCCTTTCACCCTGCACTGCTTCTCCCCTCCTGTCCATATGATAACCACATATCCCTGACTTCCCGTTCTGATCCTGATCATCTCAAACAGTCTGTCTCCTTATGAAAGCACGTCTGTCTCTGTGCAGGATCTTCAGCATGAAACAAGTCATCTGTTCATGAGATTCGTACCAATCATTTGGCACTTAATTACGTATCATCTTCTATTTAATGGTTCCTCGTATGAATGTTGTCTTGCTTGTAAGTTCATTATCTCCTTATAAGCAATGACTAGCAATATTGGGTACACAGCAAATACTCCATAATTATGTGCAGAAATTAGTTAAACGTCATTATTTCCTGCCCTCCCCTTTTTAAAACTATCTAAATATGAGAATCAAAACTATACAAATCTCAGTTCCCGACAAATTCTAGGAAACCTGCAGCCACACACAAAACAAGAGTCTCTAGTCATTTTCACTTTAAATAGAAAACTAAAACAGGGTCTCAGTCTACTTTAATTCTACTCATTTTAACCAACTCAAAGTTTACTATGACAAAGTTCACTATGACAATTGTTCCAAGGGTAACTAAAGGAATTACATTTCAGATATTTAGCAATCATCATCAAAAGGGCAAATACTCTAAGTTGCTTTTTCCTAGTGTAGTTGGGTATTGCATTGAGCCATCCCTATTAATTTGCTTGGGTTTCCCTAAAACCAACAAACATATTTCTGTAAAATAGCTTGCAAAGCTCCTGATGTACAGAAATGAACGTTATCTCTCCCTTAAGGTTTGACCGTGGCCCCATTAACACCACTGTCTTACCAAATGAACAAACTGTGACTGGATGCTTCAATATATGAACGGTATAGGCACTCACACACAAAATATTGTTGCATAAAGGCACAGATAACTTAGCTATGGATAAAAGGGTATTTGGTCTTGCTTCTCGGCTATTTTGTATTTTTCTTCTTCTTATTATTATTATTTTTAATTTTATTTTTTAAGAGGAAGCCTTGCCCTGTCACCCAGGCTGGAGTGCAGTGGCATGATCTCGGCTCACTGCAACCTCCACCTCCTGGGCTCAAGCAATTCTCCTGCCTCAGCTTCCCAAGTGAGCAGCTCGGACTACAGGCTCACGTTACCATGCCCGGCTAATTTTTGTATTTTTAGTAGAGATGGAGTTTCACCATGTTGGCCAGCCTAGTCTCAAACTCCTGACCTCAAGTGATCTGCCCACCTTGGCCTCCCAAAGTGCTGGGATTACAGGTGTGAGCCACCATGCCAGTCCTGTAGTTGTTTTTAAACTTCTTTAATTCTACAATGTTTTAAGTAAACAGAAATTGTAATTTATGTTTCTTTGTTTTTATATGTTTTTACTTCTATCGTATTCCTGACATTGTAATTTCCCTCCGCTGGGAGGCAGGGGCTTTAACTTTGGTTGCTGGAAGTTACAGCGAAAGGAAAAAGTGGCAGGCTGGTGCCCAATTATAACAGAGAAGGAATTTAGATGTTTCAGCAGCCTGAGACACAGAGGACTGCCCCACGAAGAGTTCGCTCCCCTCCCTGAATGCCCTGTCATTGGCACCCAAATGCTCCCAATGGAAAGGAACTTGTATTGAAAAGTCTCCATCCCATTACTGGGTATATACCCAAATGAGTATAAATCATGCTGCTATAAAGACACATGCACACGTATGTTTATTGCGGCACTATTCACAATAGCAAAGACTTGGAACCAACTCAAATGTCCAACAATGATAGACTGGATTAAGAAAATGTGGCACATATACACCATGGAATACTATGCAGCCATAAAAAATGATGAGTTCATATCCTTTGTAGGGACATGGATGAAATTGGAAACCATCATTCTCAGTAAACTATCGCAAGAACAAAAAACCAAACACCGCATATTCTCACTCATAGGTGGGAATTGAACAATGAGATCACATGGACACAGGAAGGGGAATATCACACTCTGGGGACTGTGGTGGGGTCGGGGGAGGGGGGAGGGATAGCATTGGGAGATATACCTAATGCTAGATGACACATTAGTGGGTGCAGCGCACCAGCATGGCACATGTATACATATGTAACTAACCTGCACAATGTGCACATGTACCCTAAAACTTAGAGTATAATAAAAAAAAAAAAAAAAAAAAAAGAAAAGTCTGATGCCCCAGGCCATATCCTCTTTCTCTTCCAAAGGAAAAATACAAAAAGCTGTTGTGGTATGCCAAGATCCATAAAGAAATGGTCAGCTAGATGGGAAAAATCATATAGTTTAGTGGTTTAAGTTTTGTTTTGTTTTATTTTAACAAAGAAATTGTGCCTTCAAATGGTATCTGACACAGAAGTCGAAAAAATAAAACAAACAGAAGTTCAAGGCCAGGCCAGGCTGGGTAACATAGCAAGACTCTGTCTCTACATAAAATTCAAAAAAATAAAAAAAAAAAAAATAAGTTAGCCAGGCATGGTGGTGTACTCCTGTAGTCCCAGCTACTCAGGAGGCTGGGGTGGAAGGACTGCATTAGCCCAGGAGTTCCTGGCTGCAGTAAACTATGATCATGCCACTGCACTCCATCCTGGGCAATAGAATGAGGCCATGTCAATCAATCAGTCAACCAATAAAACAGATAAAAGAGGGAGTGTTTTCGGTAGAGTGGGGGTGGGAGCACAGTTTCATAGCATTATCCCCTCTTTCCTCAAACCACAGGGAGACACAGACACAGACTTTGGTTTAAAGACTGAAATAACAAAAATAAAGCCAGAGAAGTTAAATAATGTATTCAATACTAACAATTAAGAACAAAGCCAGAAGTATAGCCTACTTTCAAGGAAAGTTAGCACACTGTCACTTGGGAGCCAGTGGCACTTCACTCCAATTTCCTGTAAGGCTGCAGGATATGGTGGAGAGACAGCCTTGATGTCATGCTTGACTGGGCATGGCAGACCCGTGACTTCCTTGCTGTGTAACCTGAGCTTAGTTAAGTTACTGGGCCTCAGTGAGTCTCAGGAACCTCATCTATAAAATGGGGGTGAGGGGAGAAACTGTATCAGAAGATCTGTCTGAGGTTCCAAGAATAATACAAAAAGTTCCTAGCAGAGTGTCTGTTGCATAATAATGATGTAAGAGCGTTCACTTCTGCAATTTGGTGTGATAAAACAGAAAATGAAATCTTTATGTTTGCTTTCCAAACAGCATTTTCATTTTTTATAATTCATAACTCAGGGATATATATATAGACATAGATATATAAATGTACACATACACCTACAGATACACACACACACTCTACCCCCCACCACACACATCACTAGTCATCATGAACACAATGAAGCAGAGAACTCAGGTTTGAACACCCCAAATTAAGAAAAATATCTTACACATTTTGTCAGCCTACACCGTAACTTAATACACACCAAAACAAATGCAACAACTCAAAAACTATCCGTCCACAAACAGCCAAGTTAAGTGGGACCTTTCACATTAGTCTTTCAATTATTATGACTCCAACAAGAATGATTTCTTCAGAAGGTTTTGAAAAATTTATACATGAGGAAAAAAATCAACCCACTAGACCAGGTTTCATATATTCTTGTTAACACATCTTGTCTTCTGGGGCCTACCAAAATGTCCATCTGAGAAGTTTTTGCCATGAAAATCCCAGATCCTTATTTCATAATGTCATAATGAGATTAAGATATAACAGGGAATATTTGTACACCACTGGGATTTTGACAAACCTCCAGATTAAATTAAGCAGAAAGAACAAAAGAGTATTAACTCCGAAACAAATCTGAAGGAAATCTGCTAGCAGGAATATCCTTCAGGAACAGCGCTTCACAATGTTAACCGCTACTGAAAAGTGTTGCAGGTTCAGTCCACCAGGGGGCAGTGTTGTCTAACTATTAACAGAACTGAGTTCTTAAAAGGAATAAAACTTTTGTACTTAAATTTCTTTCTAAGCTTTCAGAAGGAAAAAAATATATATATTCTTTGAAGGAAAACCTAAAAATCTTTAATTTAGATATCTTTAATTAGGTGAAAATCTAAAAGATGGTCCACTTCTCAAAATCATTTTGTGCCTGTTAATGTTTATCATCTCTGTGGCTAGGATTCTCCTAAAAGAAATGAAGACACTCACTCACCACACCTAGTTCCACAACCTGACCAGGGCTGCTTCAGTCCCGACCAGAACCCTCCTCCTCTTTGGCAACCTGATGTTGAAGTTCAGAGAAAGCAGTGAACAGTGACAGGTGGGACCCTATTGCTTCATCACAAATTTCAAGCTAGTTCATGATGGCCACTGTATTAAATATCTACCCACTATTCCCAAAAAACATTTTCATGCAACAGGAAATACACCCTAAATTTTAGCTTGAGAGAAACAGTTACCATGCTGTCACAATGACAAAAGCCCCAAGTGGGCTGCTGAGTGGCAAGGCACCCAGGGGATGTAGAGTACACTCCTAGAGCTACTTAAGAAACGGCCACCATCTACCCTGAGTAATTTCAATAATTGTGTGATCATTAAAAAAAAAATCTGGTTTAATCTAAACAACTTTATAAACACACACACACACACAAACACACACACACACACACACACACACACACACACACACTCTCCTTCTCCTATTTCAATGCATTCAATTACCTCCTAATTGCTAGATGCTTCAGTCTTTATTGGACTGGACTCATCCATGGCATGTCTCTGCAACTACTGCCACCTTTTGAAAATCCTCTCTCTCGTTTTCCAAATATTTTTCTGTTAAAGTTTCCCTTCTCTATCTCGGGTTGATTCTTCTAAATTTATTTTAAATACTACTTTGTCAACCTGTTCATTTTTTTTTTCTTTAGAGTGCAAACTTCAGATTTCCTGTCATTTTCCACATGATTCCTGGGCAATCATACCCACTTCCAAAATGTCTTCTAAGCCCCAATGGCCAAAGGCTTCAGACCTGCACCCACAGACCCAGAAACCAGTCTGGCCCTTGCAGATAGAGACTCCAGGCCTCCCAGGAGCCAGGCCAGCCTCAGGGGCCTCATGCTCTACAGAACCAAGGATCCAGGCCTGCTTCAGCAGACCCTGGGGCCACACAAGCTGCCACGAACCCAGGACCCAGGCCCATCCCTAGGGACCCAGTCTCCAGGCAGGACCAGTGCCAGCGGACTAAGGATCTAGGCCTGCCCCCAGTGAACCCAGGGTCTAAGCACCAGGCTGGCCTTCATGGACTCAGGATCCAGGACTGCCCGTACAGGCCCAGGTACCAGGATGGTCCCCACAAACTAAAGATCCTACCTCTACCACTACAGACTCAGGCTTTAAGCACACCCCAATGCCAGGCCAGCCACTGCGAACTCAGGCTCCTACCCCAACCCTATTGATCCAGGTACCAAGCCCATCTCAGCACCAGGCTGGCCCCTGCAGATCCATGCTCTGGGCCTGTCCTCACAAACTCAGGCTCTAGGCCCAACTCAACAGACACAAGCTCCGGGCCCATCAGAGTAAACCCAGGCTCCAGACTTGAACCTGAAAATCCAGGCTCTAAGCAAACCCCAGGGGAGCCAGGAACCAGCCTGCCCAAAGGCTCCAATAGCAAGCCTACACACATTCCCTTCCAGATGGGGGATTATAAGATCATCTCCATAGACTCATAAACAGCATTTGAGAAAATTCAACACCCTTTCATGATAAAGAAAAAAAAAAAAAACACCTTTCAACAAATCAGGTAAAGAAGGAATGTACCTCAACATAATAAAGACCCTATGTGACAAGCCCACAGCTAACATCACACTCTTGAGAAACAAGGCAAGGATGCCCACTCTCACCACTTCTGTCAGCACAGTACTAGAACTCCTAGCCACAGTAATTAAGCAAGAAAAAGAAATAAAAGGCAGCCAAATTGAAAAGGAATAAGTAAAATGGTCTCTTTTTGCAACTGACATGATTTTATATACAGAAATCCTAAAGAGTCCACCAAAAAAAATGTTAAAACTAATAAATTCAGTAAGGTTGCAGGATACAAAATCAGCATACAAAAACCAGTAGCAATTCTATACACTAATAACAAACTATCCAAAAAAAGATATCAAAAAATAATCTCATTTGTAACACCTACAAAAAGTAAAATACTTCAGAATAAATCTGACCAAGAGAGTGAATGACCTATACAATGAAAACTATAAAACACTAATGAAAAAAGTTGAAGTGACAAAAATAAATGGAAAGATATCCCATGTTCAAGGATTGAAAGAATTGTTAAAATGTCCCTATTACCTAAAGCAATCTACAGATCCAATGTAACACTTATAAATATTCTAATGGCATTTTTCAGGGAGATGGAAGAACAATTCTAAAATTCATACAGAACCAAAACAGACCCCAAATAACCAAACCAATCTGGTGCAAAACAAAGCTGGAGGCATCACGTTACTTGACTGCAAAATGTACTACGAAACTATGGTAACCAAAACAGCATGGTACTAGCATAAAAACAGACCTAAACCAATGGAACAGAATAGGAAGCCCATAAATAAAGCCTTACTTTTATAGTCAATTGATCTTTGACAAAGGTATCAAGGACACACAATGGGGAAAGAACATCAATGAACAGTGCTGGGAAAACGGAATATCCACATGCAGAAGAATGAAATTAAACCCTTATTTCACAACATATACAAAAATCACCTCAAATGGATTAAAGACTTAAATGTATGACCCAAAACTACAAAACTACTAGAATAAAACATAGGAAAAAAGGCTTCTTGACACTCGTCTAGGCCATGATTTTTTGGTATATAACACCAAAAACACAGGCAATGAAAGGCAAAACAGACAAATTGGATTGCATCAAACTAAAAAGCTAACACACAACAAAGGAAACAATTGTCAGGGTGAAAAGACACCAACAGAAGTGAGTAAATACGTGGCAAATCATGTATCTTATAAGCAGTTAATATCCAAAATATCCAAGATATAAATACATATATACATTTTATTTGTCAAACAACTCAATAGCAAGAAAACAAATAACCCAATTTAAAAACCTCCTATGGGCAAAGGACTGAAACAGACATGTCTCAAAAGAAGACATACAAATGGCCAACAGATATATTTTAAAATGCTGAATGTCACTAATCATCATCCAGAAAAAGCAAATGAAAACCACGATAAGGTATCACCTCGAATCTGTTAGAATGGCTAATATCAAAAAGATAAAGTACCAGATGCTGGAGCCATGTGGGAAGAAGGGGAACTGTGTACACTGTTGGTGGAAAAGTATGGAAGTTCCTTTAAAAAAATAAAAATAGGGCAGGCATGGTGGATCACGCCTCTAATCCCAGCACTTTGGGAGGCCAAGGCAGGAGGAATCACCTGAGGTTGGGAGTTAGAGACCAGCCTGACCAACATGGAGAAACCCTGTCTCTACTAAAAGTACAAAATTAGCCAGGCATGGGTGGCACATGCCTGTAATCCCAGCTACTCGGGAGGCTAAGGCAGGAGAATCGCTTGAACCCAGGAGGCGGAGGTTGCAGTGAGCGGAGATCGTGCCATTGCACTCCAGCCTGGGCAAAAAGAGCGAAACTCCGACTCAAAAAAAATAAAAATAAAAGTAAAAATAGAACTACCATATGATCCAGCAATCCCATTTCTGTGTATTTAGCCAAAGGAAATGAAGTTAGCATGTCAAAGAGATATCTGCATTCCCATATTCTTTGCAGCTTTATTCACAAGAGCCAAGATATGAAATTGACCTCAGTGTCTATGGATTGCTGAATGGATTTAAAAAAAGTGATATATATATATATATATATATATATATATATATATATATATATATATATATACACACACACACACACACACACACACACAAACAGAATACTATACAGCCTTAAAAATAAAGAAGAAAATCCCATCATTTGTGACAAAACGGATAAACCTAGAGGACATTATGCTAAGTGAAATAAGTCAGGCACAGAATGACAAATACTGCACGATCTTATTTACGTGCACAATCTTAAAATGTTGAGCACACAGTAGCAAAGAGTACGATGGTGGTTACCAGGGGCTACAGCAGGGAGGAGGATGAGGAGGTGTTGGTCAAATGGAACAAAATTTCAGTTAGATGGAATGAATACATTCTAGAGATCTGTCAGACAGCATGGTGCCTATAATCAATAATGTATCACACACTTGAAAATTGCTAAAGGAGTAGATCTTAAATGTTCCCACCACAAAAAAATAAGTATGTAAGGTAAAGAATATGTTAATTAATTTAATTTAATCATATCACAACGAATATATGTATGAAGATATAATACTGTATGCCATAAATCTATATAATTTTTGTCAATTATATCTTAATAAAGCTGAAGGAAATGAAAAAAAAGGAAATAAGGGAGAGAAGTCTTTAACATTTCTTTTTAAATAATATAAAATCTCTTCCCTCTAGCCCAGACCTGATACCCACCAGCCCACTGAATATCTGCATCTGAATGTGCCATGGGCATCTCCTACGCAACATGTCCCAAAGTGTCAGCATTCTTCCACCTTACCCCCAAATCCTCCCTCCCATCCACCCAGCTGCCCAAAGCAGAAACTACCCTCAATGCCTTCACCTTCTTTTCTTCCCGTATCATATCAGTAACCAATATCAGCAATCCCTGCAGTATGTCTCGTCTTCTGTATCTCCACTGCCTCAGTTCAGGTCTTCATTATGTGTCCCTCGCATTCCTGCACTACTTTCAGGCAGAGATGGAGATGGTTTACCCCACTATCCATTTCTCCTCTTCCCTTACTGATAGAACCCCTCCATTTTTAGCTAGGCACACGGCCGCTGAATAAATACTGTATTTTCAGCCTTTCTCTTACAGCTAAAAGTGATCATGGCACGACACAGGGGCAATGAGCTCTAACTAGAAGTCTTCCGTGGCAATTTCTCCAAAATAAAAGCAAGTCCTCACTCAACATTGCAGATTAGTTCTTGGAAACCAAGACTTTAAGCAAAACGACCTACAGCAAGTCCTCAAATAACACTGTTTTGTTATATTGATAACATAATTAGTTTTGTTACACATCCTATATGTTTCGCTTGAAGTCGCAGTTTCCAAGAACCTATCAAGGATGTTAAAGACTTACCATATCCTTTTATTACAGCTAGTGCATGCCCCTTTGCTCTTGCGATTTCCCACCCCCAACCCTGCCCCTTGCATTCCTGCTCTCAGGAACGTGGAGCTCAAGCAAACACATCAGAAGATGAGAAAATCTCCAAGGATGGCAGACCAACTAGCCCAAAGTAGCCAGGACCTGCAACACCGTGGAACCAACATACAAGCTGTGAATCATCTATCTGGATTCCTTTCATGGAAGAGAACTTTTATTTTGTCTAAGCCACCGGTGTGTGGGTGTGGGCAGGTGGGCGTGTGTGTTTATGTATTTATGTATCCTAACAAGGTTCACTGCCTCCAATCTCACCTCTCCAAAACCACAATCTATCTCTAGATTTCCTACTTCCAGAATGATTTCCAGACTGATTTCCTAAACCCTAAATGTGGAGAATCAATCCATTATTTTTTTAAAAAATTAATAAAATACACACTTACAGCATGCTTTAGCATGGCACGTAAGACCATTCATAACCTAGTCCCTGCCCACCTGAAGTCTTCTAGTTCATTGCTCCCTCTTGACACCAGCTGCTCTGACCAAGCCATGGTCTGCACAACACCACAGCTTTATATGTGCTTCTGCCACTGTCAAAACATCTTTCTTCCCAGCACCCGTTCTAAATTATCTTCAAAAACTCTGCTCAGATCTCAGATGTCACCTCTTCCAAGAAGCCTTCTCTCCATCCTGACTGAGGTACAAATTCACAGCCTCCCAAAGCCTCTGTTCTTACCTCTACTGTAGCAGGTATCATCCTGTGTCAGAATCATGTTATTACTTGCCTGTTTCTCCAACCAGACTTCACAGTCAGGCTGTAGGCTTCATATTTCTACCTCTAGCCCAGCAACTACAGGTATTCACTGAATGCGTGTTGAAAAAGTAAATACTTCCAGGAATGTACTGAAGGAAGTTTTTAGCATCTGGTACTTGACATACTAATAAACAAAAAACTAGGCCTCTTGATTCTTTGCCCAGGCCTGTTCCCAGTACATCAGCATTTCTCCAACTGTGTTCCAATAACATCCATTCAGAAAATGTGAATAATGTGTGGGTTTCCAGCTATGCAACACAGCTTCCAGTTCCACCAACCTGTCAAACTTCCACCACCCTCAAAGCCTCTCACCCCACCTTTTTGGTCTTCTACGTGGAGGGAGGGCACTGTACCTGTACCGTGCCCCTTTCCCTGGTTCCCACCATTCAGTCGTCATTCATAAGTGCCAGTTCAGACCCGGGGAAGACTATCTGGTCTTGCAATATTTTTAATAATCCTCTAAAGCTTGGCTAAAGACCGCCCTGAAACTCACCAGGCTCTACAATTTCCTTAATTCTCCTTTCTACAGATTAAGGTTTTGCCTCTTGGATTCTTTTTTTTAAGCACTAGTCCCTATCTTCATGATTTTCAAAGAATATCTAGAGTGGATATATAATTTACCTGCAAATATGCTCAGTTTCTTAGGATATTATGCCTCAGAGTTTAAATTCATACAAAAGGAGCCAGGTGATCTCTTCCGGGGCTTCAGCTTCTTCTAGCAGTGTTTGTTCTACCCTTTCAAACAAGCTGACTGTACTCCTTGATAGAGAAACGCCAGCCAGGAAGGAGTTTCGTATCTCTGCTTTATCTCAGAAATCTCTTAGCATTACCTCACACACCCTTAGAAAGGAGCCCCACCTTTCCTTTTTCTCTTTCTTTTTCACACACCACACAGTTATTGCCCCTGACCCGTGAGAACAGGATTGCTCAAGCAGCCATCCAAGGACTACCTGAATCGGGATCATCCGAGAGCTCATTCAATACTAGATTTCTGAGTCAAACAGAATCAGAATTACTGGAGTGAGGTTCAAGAATCTGAATTTTTAACAAGCATGGAAAGCATCCAAGGTGGAAACAGATCGTTGGCTTGCAAGGTGGGGCGGGGCAGGACTGGGGCGGCCAGGATCCCCAGAAACTGTCACCTGCAGCCCAAGACCACTGCTTTCCTTCACTTCCCTGCGCAATACAAAGAGTGTAATTTTCTATGTGCGCCATTTGTAGGGACATGGATGAAATTGGAAATCATCATTCTCAGTAAACTATCGCAATAATAAAAAACCAAACACCGCATATTCTCACTCATAGATGGGAATTGAACAATGAGATCACATGGACACAGGAAGGGGAACATCACACTCTGGGGACTGTGGTGGGGTGGGGGGAGGGGGGAGGGATAGCATTGGGAGATATACCTAATGCTAGATGACGAGTTAGTGGGTGCAGCGCACCAGCACGGCACATGTATACATGTGTAACTAACCTGCACAATGTGCACATGTACCCTAAAACTTAAAGTATAATAAAAAAATAAATAAATTAAAAAAAAAAAAAACAATCACAAAAAAAAAAAAGTTTCATGGAGTTTCTAGAATTTCCTAGAGAACTACTAAATTAGTATTTCTAGGGCAGGTTCACAATGATCATTTCCAAAACTTCTACAGGACAATCTAATGTGCCCTGATGCTTAGGAACCATCGCTTTAAAACAGCAATTCTCAACTCTTTAAGGGCAAAAATACCTTTTCGTAACATTTTGCAATGCCTTCTTTATTATCCTACAGTGAAATCCATCAACAATATAACTGCCTAAATATAAAATTCAAAATAATCCATATAATGCCCTAAATATCACAAAGGGGAAATAAAATTAAAATGATTTTCATTACATAAATGCTCAGGTTAGTCAGACACTTGCTTGTACCTAAAGGAGAATCATGCTGAAAGCAAGGTTCGAGTGTGGACAGATACAGCGGTATTGAAATGGTGATGCGGGAGCATGAGCGCTGCTTTCTTGGATGTGATACTTTGAAATAGTAAACAACTTTTAGTAAATTTGCAAACAAAACAAAGTATAATCTTCTCTCGATTTACATGGTAGTTACAGTCCTAGAAAACTCACTGATACTTAAAACCATTTAAGTAAAAAACCTTTTATTGACATATCCTAAGGCCGGATCATTAGAAACATATTTTTCTCCTACATGAATGTCCAACAGGACATTCGAGGCCATACAGAATGTAGAATAGTTCTTCCTGGTGTGGTACTATCCCAGGGACTAAAACTTGTCTAGCATGCCTCATCACCACCTATTAAAGGCTAGTAGCCACCTAGCCCTCCATCCCCAATCACTGTGATAACTAAAAATATACCCAACCATTCAACCTCCCCAAACAATATGAATAGAGGTACCTGTGTCAGGCTATAGTATTATTTTCCCTTGTGACACTATCATACATGATAGTGACTCCAGAATCTCTGCGTGATTCTACCTATACTTATAATATTTTCAAAAGCAAATATTTACATAAATTCTACCATAACAGAAATTGCTGGTGAAATTCTACATGAATGGAATGACAGTTTCACAGATATGAGAAACCTTCTTCAGAAATCCTTGAAAAAACAAATGTAAACTACTTTTTTTAACAATCAAATTGCATTTTCCTGTTGACATATTTCAATTTCAGAATTATCTTCTCACTATTAGTATTCAATTGGCAGTGGTTCCTAAGCAGTTCAGCTCTGCATGTCAGTAAAATATATCAAACTACAGTTTAAATGTATTAAATGATTCCAAAATGCATCCTTTTAGTGTTAAAATGGTTTATAAACATCTCAAGTAAATTATCTTTTAAAACACAATGGTTCTCGAGCCTGTATGTGCATGACAACAAACACTAGGGGAGATGCTTAAAATGTAGAGATGCTTGGGTCATCCCTTGCCCACAGATTCTAACTGCATAGGCATGGGTTAAGTAGAGCCTAGGAAGCTTTATTATTTCTTAAAAGGTCTACAGGAGATCCTCATGCTGGCAGAGGCAGATCTAGTTTTGTGGGTCCTGAAACCTACACACAACTGGGCAGGTGGTCACGGGGAGTCTCTTTAAGAAAAAGAACAAAAAAATGGCAGGTTTCTGGGAGCCTTGGGAATGCTTCCTGCATTGGCTTCATAGAAAATCCATCTCTGGATGCTACTTGGGGTTGCAAAGTGTGACATAATGAAACTCACAACTGGAACACATGGGCAAAAGTATAAAGTCATACACTATGTATGCAGAGGCCATAAGCCCAGTGTTCACGGGCTTCAGGAGATAATATAAATGAGTAAGGCAGGCAAGGTATGAGAACACAGGAGGGAGTGGTGACCAAGTACCTGTGCTCTGAAGGCACCAGCACTATTTCATGTCAATGCCAAGGCACACTCAGTGTTGGCATTCCTCAAATTCAGCAACAGAAGCTTCAAGTCTGGATTTTTACATGAAATCTCCCAGTTTTTAAAAGTTAGCTCAATATTTTAATAAAACATTGGTTAGACCAAATAAATCATAAGTTAAAAATGCCAGTATGTCACTTCTGCTTTATAGAAGGGAAAAGATATTTCCTACCTAAAAATAAAACTGAAGAGTAGATAGTTTATTCAAGGATCCATGAAGGGAGACTGCTAAAAACATACTTTGTGAGTCAGTTCATACACCTGACAATGAAAAAACGGTTTGTTCAGGGATTCTGCAACATCTCAAGGACCTAAAGTTTACTCTAACACGTCCTAACGGAACCCAAAGAGTTCTGTAAGTCAATAAAAGGCAAGCTCTCCAATATAAAACTCGTGAACAGGAAAATCTTTCAAAATGAATCATAAATGGCTAATAAGCACATGAAAAAAGTTTGACCTCAATTACATCTGGTGCAGCAAGTCTGTGGAGATTAAAGTTCTCAGTTCTAATTATGACATTCTGAGAACACAGGAATAAACTAAACGGAAGTGCTTTTCCTATTCTCTCACTCAACCTACACAGAAGACTTCTGTGACCAAATGTTTTCCCCACAAACCGAGCAAGCAATCAATTCTGCAGGATACACCACCTGGGTGTCCTGTAATTCAATTCAACTGCAATACTATCTAACTCGAGACAGTATTAGATCCCACGGGTTGGGGACTCAGTCTCCAAGACTGCCCCTTCCCTTCAGATGCCCATCTAAAGCCGTAGGTTGTTTCACCTGCGCTTCTGACTGGCTATAAATCAGGATTCTCACAGCCCCCTCCTTGGGTTCGATTAATCTGCTAAATCAGCTCACAGAACACAGGGAACCACTTATGTTTACCAACTTCTGATAAAGGCTGTTACAAAGGATACAGATAAAGGGATGCATGGGGCAAGGCATGTGGGAGGGGGCAGAGAGTTCCATGCCCTCTCTGGACACACCGCCGTCCTGGAACCTCCATGTGTTCGTCTTTCAGGGAGCTCTGCAAACCCTGTCCTTTTGGGTTTTTATGGAGGCCTCATTAGTAAGCATGATTCACTCAATCATTGGCTATTGGTGATTTCCTTAAACTTCACCCCTCTCCCCTCCCCAGAGGTTAGGGGATGGGACTGAAAGTCTCAACCCTCTAATCCAGGGGTGTCCAATCTCTTGGCTTCCCTGGGCCACACTGGAAGAACTGTCTTGGGCCACAGATAAAATACACTAACACTACCAACAGCTGATGAGCTTTGAAAAAAAAACCTCATAATGTTTTAAGAAAGTTTAAAAATTTGTGTTGTGCCACATTCAAAGCTGTCCTGGGCTGCATGTGGCCCATGGGCTGTGGGTTGCATAAGCTTGCTCTAAGCTTGGACAAGGTAGCCCCATTCTAAAGCCACATAAGGGTTGCCAGGCATCAGTTAATTCATTAGCATACAAAAAGACATACCACTTTGAAAATCCTAGAAATTTTAAGAGGAAACTCAGAGGGAAGACCAAATATAGTCATGTGCCACATAATGACATCTGGCTCACCAATGACCACATATAGGACGCTGATCCATAAGATTATAATGCCATATTTTCACTGTACCTTTTCTATGTTTAGACATACAAAGACCACTGTGTTACAATTGCCCACAGTATTCAATACAGTAATATGCTGTGTAGGTTCGTGGCCTAGAAAAAACAGGCTAAGCCATAGAGCCTAGGTGTGCAGTAGGTATACTATCTAGGTTTGCGTAAGTACATTTTATGATGTTTGCACAAAGATGAAATCGCTTTATGACACATTTCTCAGAATGTGTCCCTTTCTTTAGATGACACATGGCTGTATATACTTCACAGTGTTAGATGTGATGTCCACTGCTGTTCCAAAGCTGATTTGATCCTACTCTCAAAAAAGTCAAATCCTGCTCCTCAGCTTTTCAACAGCTACTTTAAATATATATATATACATATATGTGTGTGTTTTATATATATATACATATATTAAACACCAATCTAAAAAAATAGATCTTGTAGACAAAAACACTGAACAGACAGTAGAAATATGCTTTTCAGTATGCTCTCCTGGTTGATTTCTGCAACACTTCTTAGTTATCTTAGTATATAAAACACCAAGTAATTCCAAAGAAGTAGTTAAGGCTACCAGCATACAGCCCATTCTACAGATACGTGGGCCAGTGTGGAATAAGGTGGAACCTCTAACTTACTATACCAAAAACCCTAGCCAAAGAGAAAGTTATAGTCACTTCCTGGCCCACTTTGTCAAGCCAAAACAGACCATTGGAAACTACTGCGTATCAAGCAGAGGCTGTGGTACAGCTAAAATAATGGAGAACATATGGTCAGTTTAATAACGGCCAAGGAATAGTGAGCAAGTCTAACACATACTTGTTATTATACTGTAAAATCATTTTTCTGCTTTCCATAATGGGTGGGAAGGAGGCTGGAGAGTGGAAAGAAAGGAGCAAAATAAATAAAAATGGCCAAACATAGAAGATTTTCTAAAGGACTAGCCACAAAATTATAAACCAACTTCTATCCGTGGTGAAAACAAGAAAATAAATCAACAGAAAACCTGAGAATTAGCAGATTTGTCATTTCTTCCTTTGTTTATTTGTGGTATTCTATCCCAGCCCACATTTTTCCTAAAGCAATAACTCGTAGGTTTCCTGGGTCCTGCAGCCAGATGCAAAGATCTGAATAGGCATGAGTAGGGGCTGAGCTGCCATGCTACTTTTTTCTTGTCTTGCTCTCCAGGAATTCCGTGTGTATGGTGAGGCGTCTACCTAAAGCAGACGCTCAACATTCACCCAACACATTCTATCTGTTATTCAGAATTATTCAGCTTCTTCTTTGCACTAAAAAGAAAAAATAACTAACTCAAAATGGGCCACAGACATAAAGGTAAGAGTTACAACTATAAAACATGGAAGGAAATACAGGACTAAGTTTTCTTCACTTAGGCAATGGTTTCTAAGACATGACATGGGAAGTACAAGCAACAAAATAAGAGATATAGATAACTGGACTTCACCAAAATTAAAACCTTTTGTACTATAAATGATGACTATGAAGAAAGTGAAAACATAACGAATACAATAGAAGACAGTATCCAGAGTCATACAATTAAGAAGGGGCTTGTATACAGATTATAGAAAGAGTGCTTTCAACTCAATCATAAACAGACAAATAAGCCAATTAAAAAACACAGCTGGGCCCTGTGGCCAGGAGTTTGAGACCTGCCGGGGCAGCACAGCCAAACCCCATCTCTACAAAACATTTAAAAATACAAAAGTCAGCCGGGCATGGTGGCGTACACCTGTGGTTTCAGCTACTCAAGAGGCTGAGGTGGGAGGCTCACTTGAGCCCAGGAGTTCAAGGCTGCAGTGAGCTATGCTATGATTGTGCTACCACACTTCCAGGCAACTATCTCTAAAAGTATATATATATATATATACACACACACACATATACATATAATAAAAATTCTCTAATTTTTTGGAAAAATGTTAAAAAATGGGCAAAGAATCTGAATAGACATTTCTCTAAAGATATACAGGTTGAGCATCCCTAACCAAAAATCTAAAATTCAAAATGCTCCAAAATCTGAAACGTTGGAGTGCCAACGTAACACAAGCGGATGATGACATTAATTAACACTGCAAAAAAGTGCCCATAGACAACATGATGAAAATGTGTGATGGGTTTATTCAAGGACTACAGCAGGGTACATTCATAATAGAACAAGAAATCATGCCAGTTTATAAAATTCGAGAGAGAAGTCGAAGTCAAAAACTACTGTTAACGAGGAAGATGACTGGAGGACGCATTTAAAAAGCCATCCAGCAGAAAGCCTCCTCATCCTTAGAGGACTCACTTCCAGGTCCCTCAACTGCTACTGGTGTTTCTGCTCAACTCAAAAAACAAAACCACGTACAGTGAATTCTTATCTTTTTAAAAAAATTTTCTTTCTTTTCTATAACCTCATTTTAGAAATGATAGAGTTTTTAATCAAAACACAGCATGGCAGAGGAAGACGGAAAGCCTACCGTTGTTTGTTCCTGCCACTGTCCAGGAACTAACATAGGTATTCTGGTGATGCTACTGTACTGCTTAGCTATCCTGAACACATTTATTTTTTCACCATATTAATGGTATGTTGTTTTTTTTTTTTACTGTTAAATATGTATGTGTGAATCAGTGTTAGAAAATGATCGCTTCTTAGAAGAATATACATTCAGAGGCAGGAATGAGGGTGATGCCACACAACCACAGACTGTCCACATGGGTGGCTGAGATAGTGACCTCTGCATTCTGATGATTCAGCATACATGAACTTTCTTTCATGCACAAAATTATTTATAATTTATAATTATATAATTATAATCATAATTATAAAACAAATGAATTTCATGTTTAGACTTGGGTGTCATCCTCAAGATATCTCATTATGTATATGAAAATATTCCAAAATTCAACAAAACCCAAAAAATCCAAAATCTGAACTCCTTCTGGTCCTAAGCATGATGGGATATTTAAGCTGTACAATAAACCATAAGCACAGGAAAAGATGCTCAATGTCATTAGTCATTACAAAAATGCAACACAAAACCACAATGAGATACTACTTCATATCTCCTAGGATAATTATAATTTAAAAAGAAAGACAGAGAATAACAAGTGTTGGCAAGAGTGTGGAGAAACTGGAACCCTGTAAGTAAGAAAAAACACACAGATAAGCAATTTTTCCTCTGATCTCACACCACAAGGTGTGGAGATTTTCTCCACACATGAAGCAAGCAATCAGTCCTACAGAGGATACCAGCTAGTTGTCCTCTAATGCAATTCATTTCCAACACTATCTACCCGGATATGGCATCAGATCCTACAGGTTGAGGGCTTGGTCCCTCTACCCCACCCCTAACCCCATGCCCTAACCCCACCTCACCCCTGCCACTTTAGATGCCAGTTTCAAGCCCCAGGTTGTTTTATTTGTGCTTCTGAAAGGGTCTAGATCAAGGATCCCACAACCCTTTCCCTGGGCTCAGTTAATTAGCTAGAGTGCCTCACAGAACTCAGGGAAACATTTACTTACATTTACTGGCTTATTATAAAGGGTATTACAAAGGACGCTGAAGAGATGCATATGGTATGTATGGGAAAAGGGGCACGGAACTTCCAAGCCCTCCCCAGGCACGCCACCTTCCAGAACCTCCATGTGTTCAGCTACCCAAAACCTCTCAAACGCTGTCCTTTCGGGTTTTTTTGTTTTGTTTTTTCTGAGACAGAGTGTCACTCTGTTGCCCAGGCTGGGGTGCAAGGGCGCAACCTTGGCTCATTGCAACCTCTGCCTCCAGGGTTCAAGCAATTCTCCTGCCTCAGCCTCCCGAGTAGCTGGGATTACAGGTTCACGCCACCATGCCTGGCTAATTTTTGCATTCTTAGGAGAGACAGGGTTTCATCACGTTGGTCAAGTTGGTCTCGAGCTCCTGACCTCGTGATCCACCCTCCTCAGCCTCCCAAAGTACTGGGAAGACAGGGATGAACCACCACGCCCACCCCTTTGGTGTTTTTATGGAGGCTTCATCACACAGGAAGGAATGACTAAATCATTGGCCAACTTAACCTTCAGCCCTTCGCTCCTCCCAGGAGGCTGCTCACTGCTGCTGTGTAGCCACTGACCCGGGGGCTCTGGGCTGCTGCCATGCTACTTAGTTTCCCTGAACACACGTAGGAGAAAGTCCGAACCCTCCAATCCCGCTGTGTCCTTCTGGTGCCCAGCCCCGTCCTGAAGCTACCTAGGGGCTGACAGCCATCAGTCAACATATGAGCACACAAGAAGACATCATTGCGGACATTCTAAGGATTTTAGGAGGTGTATGCCAGGAAATGGGGACAAAAACCAAATACATATTTCACAATATCACACCCTCATACACTACTGGTGGGAATATAAAATTGTACAACTGTTGTGGAAAACAATTTAGAAGTTCCTCAAAAGGTTTAATGTAGAATTGCCATTCAACTCGGCAATTCTACTTCTAGCTGTATACCCAAAAGAAATGAAAACCTACATCCACTCAAAAACTTGTACAACAGTTCTCCTAACAGCATTACTCACACAAGCCAAAAAGGAAAAGCAACCCAAATGTATGGTTTGGCTGTGTCTCCACCCAAATCTCACCTGGAATTGTAATAATCCCCACGTGTCAAGGGCGGCGCCAGGTGGAGATAATGGAATCATGCGGGCAGTTTCCCCCATACTGTTCTCATGATAGCAAATAAGTCTCATGAGATCTGATGGTTTTATAAATGGGAATTTCTCTGCACAAGCTCCCTCTTGCCAGCTGCCATGTAAGACATCCCTTTGCTCTTCCTTCGTCTTCCACCATGATTGTGAGGCCTCTCCAGCCATGTGGAACTGTGAGTCCATTAAACCTCTTTCCTTTATAAATTACCCAGTCTCAGGTGTGTCTTTATTAGCAGCGTGAGAACAGACTAATGTATTAAATTTCCCTCAAATGGTGAACAGATAAAATGTGTACCATCCATATAATCGACTATTATTCCACACAAAAAAGTAGTGGTAAATTTTACAGCAAAACTAGTCATAACAATGATTCCATTTATATGAAGTGTCCAGAATAAGAAAATCTCTAGAGATAAAAAGCAAATTAGTGGTTGCCTAGAATGACAGTCAGTGGGTGTTCTCTCTCTCTTTCTTCCTTCCTTCCTTTTTTTCTTTTTATCTTTCTCTTTTTCTTTCCTTCCTTCCTTGTTTCTTTCTTTCTTTCCTTCCTTCCTTGTTTCTTTCTTTGTTTCCTTCCTTCCTTCTTTCTCTTTCTCTCTCTCTCTCCCTTCCTCTCCTCTCTTCTGCCTTTTATCCTTTCCTCTCCTTTCCTCTTCCTCTTGCTCAAGACAAGGTCTCACTATGTTGCCCAGACTGGACTTGAACTCCTGGGCTCAAACAGTCCTCCCACCTCCAGCCTCCCAAGCAGCTGGAACTACAGGAAGGAGCCACCAACAAGTCTTTTGTTTTTAAGATGATGAAAATGTTCTAAAGTGGCCTGTGGTGATGGATGATGCACAATTCTATGAACGTACTAAAAATCCACTGAATTTTACACATTAAATGGATGAATTGTATGGTTTACAAATTGTATCTCAATAAAGTTATTTTTTAAAGTATTCAGCCTTCTGGGTCACTATGGCAGACAAGGATACAGATTTGTTTAATCTTCTCTAAGTCATATGAAAATGGCAACAACCAATTTCAAAAGAAAATAAATTCACAACAGTGCTAAAAAAAAAAAGAGTATAACCATAGACAAAATAACCATAGACAGAAGTCACAACCCCAAACAAGCCCAGAGGGCCACAGTTATCCTAACAGTAGAGCCACAGAGAAGCTAGAAACCCAGAGTTGGCAGGTCTCCAGATCTGGAATGGGAAGCAGAACATATGTCACCATGATTAACTGAAAAATCATCTGCAGAACAGCTTCCCATCCTAGCCCCCTCCCACCCTGTTCCCCAACCCAGAGGCTTGCCTGCAGCAAGGCAGTTAGCATGGGTCTAATCCCACCTGCACTTGTGCCAGTCCATACACCCCACCTCGTAGAAACCCATTCCAGCCCTCTTCTATATGAAGGGAAGAGGCCTGCTAAGGACACACACTCCACACAGCCAGAGCAACTCCACCTGTCTATATCTGGGAACCCAAACTTTCATTCATGCATATGAATGAAAAAAACAAACTCCAACAGACATTTGAGGACTAACGGTGGCTTTCAAAAGAAGTTCTAAGATTTAATGAAACAACTGACCCTCGATGAAGCAAAAATCCAGGAAACAGAAGATAATCTCAGGGGGAAAAAAAATCTAATTGTTTATTTAGAGAGATTCAAAATAATGCATCCATAAAAAAGCAGACTGCAATGAAAATTGAGTGACCAGAGAATGGGAAAGAACTCTTGAAACTATAAATAAAACTATAAAAATGTTGTTAGAAAGAGTGGAAGATCGTACTTTAAAATAGGAAAGAAAAATTAAAAGACATAGAAGATTGATCTAATCCAGGAGAACCAACACCTATCTAATAGGAACTGCAGAAGTAAAAACCATTTTTAAAAAGTAGAGAGGACAAATATTTTCAGAGCTAAGGAAAGACATGACTGAAAGGGCTCCACAGGCACCATACAGCAAGAACACAAGACTCACACTTCCAGAAACGTGAGTGGGTAGGGGTCAAGAGAGCCCTGAAAGCTGTCCATAGAGATAGAGCCAATTACCCACAGGTGAGATCTCAAAGGTCTTTTCATTTAAGAGACTCCAGTGCATACTGCATACTAAATCAAAGCCAATTAAGGCAAAAGAAGGGATTAAATATTTTGAAACGCACACTGCAAAGTCTACCACTTGTGTTATTCATTCCTCATTCAGTTACCTAATTCCTAATCTGCTTAATTTCCCAAACAGTGAAACCGGAGGACAGGCCATGAACTTTCACGTACAAGTCTTTACATTGGCATACGCTTGGGTATCCTGGGTAAGTATCAAGAAATGGAATGGCCTAGTGGTACAGAACGTATATCTTTAACTTCTTAACTAACTTTTTCAATTTTTTTTTTTTTTTTTTTGAGATGGAGTCTCGCTCTGTTGCCAGGCTAGAGTACAGTGGTGCGATCTCAGCTCACTGCAACCCCCACCTCCCGGCTTCAACCGATTCTCCTGCCTCAGCTTCCTGAGTAGCTGCGATGACAGGCATGTGCAACCACACCTAGCTATTTTTTTTATTTTTAGTAGAGACGGGGTTTCACCATGTTGGCCAGGATGGTCTCCATCTCTTGATCTCGTGATCTGCCCGACTTGGCCTCCCAAAGTGCTGGGATTACAGGCATGAGCCACTGCGCCTGGCCTTCAACTGTTTTTAAATAATTGGACCTTTTACATTCCTGCCACCAGTGTGTACGAGCTCAGTAGCTCCACTTTCTTACCAATCACAATATGGCCAGTCTTTTTAATTTTAGCCTTTCTAGTAGATTTTATTAGTATCTCATTGTGGTTTTCATTTCCATTTCCCTAATAACTAATAATGTTGAGCATCTTTTCATGTGCTTACCTGCCATCCATATATCTTCTTTGGTGAAGTATCTGTTACAATCTTTTGCCCATTTTTTTTTCCCTTAGGGGATTTTCCTTCTTGTCATTGAGATGTAAGAGCTCTCTATGTATTCTACATACAAGTCTTTTGTTGGATGTCCAACACACAATGTCAATAGTCAAACTGTTGCGAAACCCTGATCTAGTTAATTTTGCTGAAAAGAACCACATTATACTGCAAGGAGTCATGTATCTACATATGATTCACTTTACCTTTAAAAAAAAAACAGGTAATTTTTAAAAAACTGACATGAGACACTTCTTAAAATCATATGCTACAGCATCCATTCACATCTAAGTCCAGCAAGCACCTTAGTTATTCATACTTATGACCATAAATCATCATAAAGAGAAAATTTGCTTAGACAATACAAGTTAGAATGAGCTCCAACTAAAAGAAAATTAACATTTTAACAAAATTTTGGTATGTCTTTCAGAGGCTTCCAAGCAACTAAGCTCTCACTACACAATCACTCTAGAACCTTAAAATTATAACACATTTCCTATGGCTTCCCCACTAGTGCCACCCGACTCTTTTCTTTTAATGATGGGCTCTGAACAGTTCAGGTGACGGCAGCAGGGAGGCAATGTGAAAACAGTTCTCCTCCTTCCTCCGTTAGTCATCAGGTACCTTCTCCAACAGAAGAGTCCCCGAAGGCCTCCCTCAGAGCCTGTTTACTCTGATAGTGGTTGCCTTTCTAACACAGCACATTTATAGCATATTTCAAGGGAGTGGGGTGATGTGACTTTTACGTCTTTCCAATCTGAGAGTTGGTTTTCCTACAGGAACAGATGATGTCACATTTCACACATGATTCAGAGCAGAGGAGCCTGGATCATGGTCTCAAACCTACCAATGAGTTTGGGCAAATTAATTCATTCTCTTGAGTCCTCAGTTTCCACATCTATAAAAGGCAAAGGTGACTTCTACTATTTCTTCCAACATAAAGATTCTGCTACTTTAATACATAAGCGGTTTCCTAACAGCTAAACACTGATTGGGTACCACGTGCCAAACCCTGAGCTGTGTATTTACAATCTCATTCGATTTCCAGTACAACTCTATGAAGAAGTTACTACCATTTTCCCTATTTTACAGATGAAGAAACTGAGGAGGCTCAGTGTTGTCCACAGGCACCTGTCGTAGGCTGGGACCCAGGCTCTGCTGCAGCTGCCATCAGCACTTTGCATTCAGTAAAGTGGGAGGAACAAGATACAGCTTTATGCCAGCCCACAGACAGCTGTGAGAAGTAATTACAGTCAGAGAGTTTCAAAAACACACACAAACTCTAAAAAGCAAGTTTAGGACAATTTATGAAGTTCTACAATTCTCCACGCAACTGAATAACCCATGAAGATACCTATCTTACCTCATTACATCAAATAACTTCCAATTACTGGCATGCTGTGCCTACTAAGAGGACTGCACTAAAGCTGAGACTTCTCATGGGCTATGAGAGAGACTGGATTTTTAATCGGATTCTAAATCATCTCAGCTATGTGCCTTTAGTCATGTTCTTTAATACCTCTGAAGCTCATTTTCCTCACCTACTTATTTTTAAAAGTCTGTAAACTCTTCAACTTGCCTTAGGAGGCCCTACATGATATGGCCCTTTTCTAAATGGTAATCTTTCTGAACTTATCTCTCAGTGATGATGTCTGCAGACTAACCAGGCTAGTCTTCCCCAGTTCGTCAAACAATTTCTATTTCCTGCTCATACCATTTCTGCAATTTGAAATGCTCTCCCCACAAAACTCTAATATTCAGAATTCTAGTCATCCTTCAAGACCAAGTTCAACTTCCACCTCCTCCATGAAGTTATCACCAGACAAACTAAATGTGATCATTCTTCCTTGCTAGTCACTTGGAGACATATTGTTTCTTCTTAGCTAAAGAATAAGAAACTTATGAGTAAGAACCATGTCTTCCACGTCTTTGCACCTTCAATGTGCCCAACGCAAGTAACCTGCACAAAGGTGCTCATTAAATGTATTTGTTCAACAACGCATGCATCCTGTCACACCTACAGCATAACATCACACCAGGAGCAACTACTACCAACCATTTTTACCAAGGCAAATAAGAAACAAAAGGTTTAAGGTGTCATTTTGGTTTGCCTCGGCTATGATATATCTGAGCTGCTGATACAGGGAAAACTACTCAAAACCCACGAGTAAGGAAGAACCAAACTCACTCACCAAATAAGGCAGAGAACTATGTAGACATTTGGTATTATCTCTATATAGTTAAGGAAAAATCAGTTTTATTATAGCCAAAAAAAAAAAGCTTAATTAGCAAAAAAATCACAGTGTCACATTCAAAGTTATGTCTATGCCAAGGAGTTTTATTTTTTAAATTTTTTGTTTATTTTTTGAGACAGAGTCTCACTCAGTCATCCAGGCTGAAGTGCAGTGGCATGATCTCGGCTCACTGCAACTTCTGCCTCCTGGGCTCAAACGATTCTCGTGCCTCAGCCTCCCGAGTAGCTAGAATTACAGGCACATGTCACCATGGCCAGCTAATTTTTATATTTTTAGTAGAGACAGGCTTTCACCATGTTGGCCAGGCTGGTCTCAAACTCCTGACCTCTGGTGATCCATCCGCCTCTGCCTCCCAAAGTGTTGGGATTAGAGGTGTGAGCAACTACGCCAGGCCAATGCCAAAGAGTTTTCAAAAGTCTGGGGATAACTATAATCAGTACCCTGTCAGGGAAAGAGTAAACAGATGATTAGGTACCTCAAACTTCAAGCCCAGAATAGTTAGGTACTTATGATGCATGACAAACAGCATAAATGGCTACAATACATGTTAAGTATAAGAGATATACTACGAAACACATTCTCCTCTAAATTAGGACACTGTGATAAAAGCCAAATGATTTTTAAAAATAATTTAGCTGTTTTTTTTACTGTATCTAAGAGTCCCCAACTATTAAGATATCTAATAAATATTCACTTTTTAAGCTAAAAGAAGTTATTATATGGCTGTGTATACACTGCCTTCTTGGTATCCTCAAATATTCTGGAGTTATTAAATAATCCCATCTAACATGTGAGTCAAAAATGTGTAGTTCATACCTGGGTTTCTTCAGCTGAGCAACAGCTGTATGTATTAAGTCAGATTCTTGGTCTTCCCAAAACAAAAATAAGTATCAGATAATAATAAAGCTGAAAAATTAAGGATTGCACTTATAATATCGGCCTCAAAGGTCAGGGATATGATGATGATGGTGATGGTTATCACAATAATTAACAGCAGCCAACACTTTTATAGCACTTATTACATACCAAGCATGACTCTAAGATCCTTTTTTTTTGAGACGGAGTCTCGCTCTATCGCCCAGGCTGGAGTGCAGTGGCGTGATCTCGGCTCACTGCAAGCTCTGCCTCTCGGGTTCATGCCATTCTCCTGCCTCAGCCTCCCGAGTAGCTGTGACTACAGGCACCTGCCACCGCGCCCGGCTAATTTTTTTTTTAGTAGAGATGGGACATGACTCTAAGATCTTTATAAATGTCAACTTATTTCATTCTCAAAATAATTCTAAGACATAAGTCACTATAATCCCATTTTACAGATGAGAAAACTGAGCCGCAAATAAGTTGGATAGCTTTGCAAGGTCACACAGTTTATAAGTTCAAGGCCAGGTTCAAACTCAAGAAGTCTAGATCCAGAACTCAGAGAATATTAACCACATGCAATAGCCTTTTCCAATCTAATTCTCAAGATATGCTAATATCCCCTTTATCATCGGTTTTCCATAAAATTACACGTTTTGAAATTCAATACAAAGCTATTTGCATTTTTATCTTGTACCTCCTTCTAGGAAAATGCCTTCAAAAAAGTATTGCATTAACAGGATGAGCTCTGCGGTCAGGCAAACTTGCCTTATACTCCTGGCTCTGCTGTGTGAGTGATTGTGACTGGGAGAAGATTACTTCAGATCCCTCATCTGGAAAATGGGGATAACGGTACCAACTTATAAGGTGATTGTGATGATTAGCATAGTGCCTCACCACACAGTAAGTAATCTAGTAGGTTAATTATTACTGTAATTAGCACTAGTAATAGTTCTATTTGTTCTAAATTTACCTGTTTCAAAGTGAAAAATGTTGCTTCTAGTTCCAGAAGACTAAATTTGATAACTAGATTAGGCCAATACTAAAAAGTATTAAAAATAAACAAGAGCTACAATAACCTCCAAAGTAAAGACTGCAGTGGCTGAAAATCATTGTGGAAATGTTTCCTAATAATATATTTTGTTAGTGAAAAACAAGCACCAAGGGCTGGGCACAGTGGCTCACATCTGTAAACTCAGTGTTTTGTGGGGCCGAGGCAGGAGGATGGCTTGAGGCCAGGAGTTTGAGACCAGCCTAGGTAGCATAGCCAGACCCTGTCTCTTAAAAAAAAAAAAAAAAGAAAAAAAGTATTTTTTTAATTAGTCAGGTGTGGTGGCATATGCCTGTAGTCCCAGCTAGTTGGGAGGCTGAGGCAGAAGGATCATTTGAGCCTGGAGGTCAAGGCTGCAGTAAGCTAGGATGATGCCACTGCATGCCAGCTTGGATGACAGAGCAAGACTTTGTCTCAAAAAAAAAAAAACCACCAAAAATACATTAGTCAATATATATAACAATGGTAACTATGGAAAACTCTTATGAAAACTGGTTAATTCTTGGAATTTCAAATATCAGAAGCTGAGAATTCTTCAAACCAAGAACATGACTTGAAATTACCAAGAATAGGCCACAAGAATTACATGAAATATTTGCGGATTCTACATCTTGGGAAGATTGTTTTGATGAATAATTAGGGAAAGCAGGTTTCACAGAGGGAAGAAGAAAGTAATGCAGGTGGAGAAAAATCACTTTGAAATCACAGCTCTTCATATAGTTTACCTGGGAGAGGGATATGAGGAAATACTTACTAGTATCTGGAGCTTTCCCTTCAGATCTGCCAAATAAAAATTCATATTTGGCCTTGGCAACACTCTGGGAATGTGCAGATGCATTGTTCACCCAAACAAATGTCTCTGCCTGCAAAATAAGAACAAAACAAAGACACATTTAAAATACATCATTAAAAAACACATCATAAAACAAATTATCCAACATGAGATTGGTAAAATAATTATGACATATGTACTCAAAGCTATCTAACCATTCAAAATGAAACATGAAAAGTGTAACATGAAAAGAATCAGAATACAAACTATCACTGCATGATTATAGCTATATAAAAAATGTATACATATAAACATCTATAGGGAAGTCAGAGGAAAATAAAAAGGATGGCTTGATTGGGAGGCTGAATTATGGTCGGTTTTTAAAAAATTAACTTAATGTAACTTTTCTGCAATTAGAAAACTATATTTTGGCTGGACGCGGTAGCTCACACCTGTAATCTCAGCACTTTGGGAGGCCAAAGCAGGTGGATCACGATGTCAGGAGTTCGAGACCAGCCTGACCTACATGGTGAAACCCCATCTCTACTACAAATACAAAAATTAGCCAGGTGTGGTGGTTCCTGTAATCTCAGCTACTCTGGAGGCTGAGGCAAGAGAATCACTTGAACCAGGGAGGCAGAGGCTGCAGTGAGCCAAGATCGTGCCACTGCACTCCAGCCTGGGTGACAGAGCTAGACTCCATCTCAAAAAAAAAAAAAAGAAAACTGTATTTTGTTTTTAAACACATCATTTTCCAACTGATTATCATCACCCACAGTCCATAACAAGAATATTTCTTTGTGTGGCTTCTGTTAAAGTACACCAACAAAAAAACCAGTCTTTCCCCAAAATAGATCACATTTTTATATAATCAGGAACACCATTCAGCCGAACAGGGCATGGAACAGAACTGCCAGGCATCCCATTTATACTGATTGTCCTACATTTCAACATCTGTCCCAGGGTCCTGTGTAACTCCTAAATTCCCTTATTTGAAACAAGAACTACAAAGGTGATGGTGAAAGTGGTACATCCTAACTCTGAACTCCTAAGACCTCCTTCCTCGCTGTTTTAGGCAACTGTCAAAAATCAGGAGTGTCTCTGTTCTCCGGCTGAGGACTAATTAAAAACAAGTAGCAAGGAAAAAAATTTCAAGACACAAAGAAATTTGACCTAGCACAGTCAGGGACGCCTTCTTTTGCCTCTTTACTATGAACCTAAACATTAACCAGGATACAGATATCACCGGTACTGGTTTCTACCCACTGGTTATGAGACATCATCTTTTCTCATGTCTGAACAGTGACTGACCATTCACTTTGGGGGAGAGAAGCGTGAAGGGTTTTAACAGCAACGAAGTAACTATTTCAAAGAGGGAAATGTTAGTATTTCTATTCTATGCTTTGGAGTAGAAATGACTGACAATACTAGGAAGACCCAATCACACCTCCATCACCCCACTGGAGACAGGTTCAGGGGGCAGACCCCACTTTGTTCTTTAATACCAAGAGCTAGCGTGCACAACATTCAGACAGCAATTTCTTAAAAGAGCTCCACAATCACTTAATGTTCATAACGCGTCAAATGTATCGGTCTGAAAAAAGGTGCATACTCCTCTTGGTGTTACGTGTTTGATAATCACAGGTTGTTAATTATCCTTTTCCCCAATAGAGAGGAAATATTAATTTTTTGAAGTGTTTGGGGAGCTTCAGGCTAGTAAAAGAGGAACTCGGCCAAGGGGCTGCCACGTAAGGTGCCCTAATTTGGGCAGGTGGTTAGGGAAAGCTCTCTGAGAAACTAACGCCTGCAGAGATGAGAAATATGACAGGCTGGGGAAGGTCAGCGACATATTGGCGGGAAGGCCATACGCATGGCCTTAAGGAATGGAAGGATGGATGAGGCTACTCAGATAACTAAGAGAAAGCCAAAGTGGCCACAGAAGAGCAAGTGAGTGGGCAAGTTTAGAGATTTGCAGGATGAAGAGTGTAGCTCAAGGAAAGGACGGAGCATTTTGATGGGTTTGATGGGAAGCCACTGAAGCGTTTTATGGGATACAGTGATTCATTTGCATTTTAAAAGATTATTCATTTACACTTTTAAAAGATCATATGGGTGTTATATGGAAAATGAATTGGAGTGAGACAAGAAGCAGCAGAGATATCAGCTAGAAATCCAAACGAGAACAGGGAAGTTTGGAGGAATAGGCAAAAGTGGATGAATTAAAATATATTTTGTAGGAAGAATTACACAGTTTTCTGATAAACTGGATTTAAAGAATGAGGGAAAGGGGCCAGGCACAGTGGCTCATGCCTTTAATCTTAGCACTCTGGGAGGCTGGGGTGGGCGCACCACTTGAGGTCAGGAGTTCGAGACCAGCCTGGCCAACATGGCAAAACCCCGTCTCTACTAAAAAATACAAAAATTGGCCAGGCGTGGAGCCATGCACCTGTGATCCCAGCTACTCAGGAAGCTAAGGCAGGAGAATCGCTTGAACCTGGGACGTGGAGGTTGCAGTGAACCGCGATGGCGCTATTGCACTCCAGCCTAGGCGACAAAAGCGAAAATCCGTCTCAAACAAAAAAAAAAAAAAAAAAGAGGGAAAGGGGAGATTAAGGTTAATTAGAATAGATACTAACCACTTACTCTGTGCCAGGCACTGTTCTAATGTAATACATGGAATATCTCATTTAATGCTCAGAACAATCCTATGAGGTGGGGGCTACTGTCATCCCCATCTTATAGGTGGAAAAAAGAAGGCAATGAGAGGCTAAATAACTTTTCCAAAGATATATAGATCCTAGATTCACACCCGAGCAGTCCAAATCTAGAACTCGTGGCATTGCGGATGACTCCCAGGAATCTGGCTTGAACAACCAGGTGCATGTATTGAGAATGGGGAGACTAGAGAAGAAACAGTATCAAGAGCCTACACTGGGGCTTCCAAGTGATGCCCCAAGGACTCACTAAAACATCAGAAAGAACATTTTTAAAAAGGAATCCATTACAGGGGTGCTAGAAAATAAGAAAAGATGCCATCTATACAGCAAAAGTTTCAAGAAATTCCAAGAAGATAAATTTTTGCTTAGAATCTCAACTTTAAGGCCGAGAACTGTTCTCTAAAGCAAGGTTCCCCTTGAGCAAGGATTCTTAACCTCAGGTCCGTGGGGAAGCAATTGCCAATCAAGAGAATTCTGGAAGTTCATGAAGCTGGGGAGGGGGTGATTTACATATTTATTTGCATTTACCTTTAGATGAAATTTAGCATGTTTTCAAATACAAATGTAAGCAACAAACCAGAGTATTGGTAGCAATAACCATAACTTGTCATCAATAGAAATTCATCATTTTCATATCATCTAACAGTTACTACAGATATTTGGAAATATGTATACTCGTCCCTAGTTTGAAATGATAATAGTTACTAGACTCACCATTAAATCTTGTTATCAATAAAGAAACATAGCTTTTTTTTTTTTTTTAGAGATGGGATCTAGATATGTTGCTCTGACTGGACTCAAACTCTTGACCTCAAGCAATCCTCTTGCCTAAGCCTCCTGAGAAGTTGGGATACATATATTATCATACCACAAATGTAATATTTTGGTAGCCAATCAAATTGGTTTCTTTTGCAACTCTATCTACATTATTGTATGCATTTAAAATGCACTATTCTGACAAAAGATCTAGAATTTTATCAGACTATCAAGAGGAGCCTGCTCAAGACTATTGTTTCTCAAATTGCAACTTATGACCCATTAGTGGCTTGTAAAATCACTTTAGTGGATCATGACCACATTTTTATATCAATAAGTTTATACACACATATCTATTTAATAGAATATAAGTAAAAATACCAGAGCAGAAAACACACTGTAAGATAAGCATTGTTTCATGGAACGTCTAAGTCACACGTGCATGTGAGTGTGTGTGCTGAGTCATGATTAAAAGTGTATTTCTCAAGGTTGCTCATGACCTAAACTGTTGGAAACATACTACCCTAGAGTGGTTCTCAAAATTTATCATGAATTAGCATTACCTACAGCACCAAGTAAAACACGTACTGCTGGGGTCCATCCCAGAGTTTCTGATGCCGTAGGTCTGTGGGGCCTGCGAATCTGCATTTTCTAACAATTTTTCAGGTGATGCTGATGTTGCTGGTACAGGAGCCATCTTCTTTGTGAACCACTGCTCTCGACCAATGGTCTTCGTACTCTGTTGTATATACGAATCACCTGGAATCTTCTTAAAACAGAAACTGAGCAGGTTAAGGTGGGGCCTGGGACTCCGCATTCCTAAAAGTTCCCTGGTGACCATGATCCACAGACCAGCTTTGAGGAGCAAGGCTTGAAGGCGCTAAAGCTTCCGAATGAAGCCGTGTTCAAAGTACGCTCAGACTATCACAAAAGTGAAACATTTTTTAAAAGGGACTGCTCGACCTAGAAGTAAAATTCACTAAAGGGCTCTGCTTAATAAAGTGCTCCATTAACATACTCCACCTTGCTAAATAATATAAAATTCATTCTGCTTGCATTTGTGTGGAGGCTAAAGTAACTCTATCTTGGAAACTAACATGCCATGTTGACTTCTGATTAACCCCAGTTCTGGGAATGCCTCTGAGATTTCCAATTTATCTACTGTTTCTTGAGTAATGGCACATACTTACAGTAAATCCTGCCCTTACATCAAATTCCTACCTATTCCCTCCGAAGCATGTGTGCCCCTTCCCTAGATATAATCCCTGGGTCTGGGGTATAATGGCATGGAGATCTATCCGTCTTGCAGTTGCCAAAAACCACGCTTCTGTCTGTCAGTTCCCCAATAAAACACCCTATAACAACAGTCTGGACCTGTCTGCCTTCTCCTTTGGTTTCTCAGCTCCACCTGCACTGGGGGGTTATTCTTACCAAACAATTAGTTATTCTTGAAGCTGTGAGCCCCTATTGATACATCCTCTTCCCATAGCAAGGCTTATAAATTTTTACTGATCTCTCCAATAATTAATGCAGGTCTTTGAAAACTGTATTGTTAAAACAATCAGATTAATGACAGACCCACAGAATTCAGACTACTATTTCCTTTGGCATTACTAACTGAATAAAATATATTCTTTTGCTTCATCACAGTTGTTTTTACGAACATAAATCTCCTTAAGAAGTATGGAACATGAAACATTAGCAGCTGGACTGATGGTCAGGTGATCAGACTTAAATCTCGGCTCGATAGTACCACGCAGTCTCACACAAATGCTTCAAGTTTGGGCTTCAGCTTCCCTATTGATAAAAAGTGTTACTCAAATTTATCTCTCAGCTCTCCTTGAATTCTGAAGCACAATGATTCTTCACACTTCTGAACCAGCTTCACAGACACTTCACTACGGGAGCAGTAACATCTTTTCCTTGTGATAAAATTACAATGGCATGATCCCCAAAACACACCCTGTATTTAAAGATGCAAGCCCACCATTAAATGGATGGGACAAACAAAATCTCAACCTTACATTTGATATGACTTTTCACATTTACAAAGAATTACATTCACGTTATCCAACTCGCAACATTACCGATTATAATTACCAATTTTAGACACAAGATAAGCACTACTGATGTAGAATGACTTTTTTTTTTTTTTTTTTTTTTGAGATGACAGATTCTCACTCTGTCACCCAGGCTGGAGTGCAATGGTACAATCTTGGCTCACTGCAACCTCCGCCTCCCGGGTTCAAGTGATTCTCCTGCCTCAGCCTCCAGAGTAGCTGGGATTACAAGCACGCATCACCATGCCTGGCTAATTTTTGTATTTTTAGTAGAGACAGGGTTTCACCATGCTGGCCAGGCTAGTCTCAAACTCCTGACCTCAGGTGATCCGCCCGCCTCGGCCTCCCAAAGTGCTGGGATTACAACAGGTGTGAGCTGCCACACCCAGCCTAGAATGATTCTTTTAATTAATTGTTTAGCTGTAAAAAAATCAAAAAGACGAAGCAGAAAGCTACAGGCAAATTTTAGAAGTAAAAGTGGTTTTCAGTTGATTTGGGAAGGGAATGATGGGGCTAGAGGAGTGAGGAGGGAGAAAAAGGTTAAGAGTAGAGTTTGAGAAAGGTGGCATGCTCCTTCATTTCCTTAATTATTTCAACTTCAGTATGATTTTCAGAGAATCTGAAAGCCTCCAAGTCAGCCAGTGAGTATTATAAAGAAAAAATTAAACACTAAATTAAAGACTATAAAATAATATTTCATGACTCACTCAAAACTAACACTTGGTTCCAACAGTCACACTCTGCACTTGATCCTGCTCAATCCTATCTGCTCCCATTGCCCAGCAGAAGCCAGGCCCATGGAAGCAGGGAGCCACGCACAACTTAAGTGCAGACAGGGACAAGAAGCTCAAGGCTAATGCTGCAAAAGGCAACAGTTAGGCGTTATGGGCTGAATTGTGTCCCCCCAAGATTTATATGTTGAAGTCCTAACCCCCAGTACCTCAAATGTAACTGTATTTGGAGATAAGGTCTTTAAAGAGATAATTAGGTTAAAATGAAATCAGTAGAGTGTGTCCTAACTTAACATGACTAATGTCTTCATATGAAAAGATGACGACAGGCACACACTGAGAAAAGACCATGTGAAGACACAGGGAGAAGGTGGCCATCTGCAAGACAAAGAGAGAGGCCTCAGAAGAAAGCAACCCTTCCAACTTTGATCTCGAATTTCTACTCTCTAGAACTGTAAGAAAATTAATTTCTGTTGTTTCAGTGCCCTGTTTATGGTACTTTATTACAGCAGCCTAGTTAACTATTACTTTAGGAAAGGCTACAGATTAGAGGGCAAAAGGAAAATTCTCCAGGATGACAGGTAACAAGCCCCTGCTATTCCCTTTTAATAAGCAAAAGGGTCTGGATGAGAAGGTATATCCTTGCACCAGCCCACACAGGAGGAATGTGGGTTTGAAGACATGCAAAGTTGTAAAAGGAGGTGAATCTTTCACTCTAGCCAAAAACAGCGATGTATAATACTCTAATCCAGTGGTTTTCCCAGCTGTGTACATGAGAATCCTAAGATTCAAAGAAGCTGCCTGGGTATAGAGACAGGGTGGCTGCAAAGATCAACAAAGGAGGCATGGTGAAAAAGACTCTTGTTCACTCAACCCCACACCACTTTTGCAACCACAGTAGTTCCATTTCTGTTTTAAAGATTCAAGTTCTATAACAGGTTTATGGGGAAGGGAGACGTCCAGTGTAAAAAGGAAAAAGAAAAAGTTTTAAAAAATCACTGTTGTTTATTTCTGGGTAAGATGGCAAAATAAATATACACATTTGCATTTGCCCTCATCCAAAGCTACTAAAAGCACAGTAAAGAGATTCTTCTTATAAAAGCACAAACCCACAGGAAATAGAATAAGAAAAATGACATTTTTGAAGCAAATGATCTAGTGATAACTGACACAGGAGACCACAGGAAAACCTGGAGAAGGAAAAGAACAATTCAATGCACCCCACAAGACATCCAAAGGACAAGGGAATGAGGGAGCCTGGTAAACTCTTGAAGTGAAGGAAAAGGGAGTGGCTTAGATAACAGAGGACTATTCACAAGGAATGGTTATCAAGCACTTAAGTCCTCAGATCCCTGCCTCCACTACACTGGGAGACAGCCCCTCCCCTACTCAGGTAAAACAATAGTTTTATTAACTAGAGAGATTTTTCAAAGAGCACTCTGGCCTAGGGGACACCACACACTACTGAAGTTAAAGATACCATAGCGGAAACTGGGATTTGTATGCTGGATGTTAAGATGCTTAGATTTCTTCACTCACCAAGCTAATGAAATTATGGCACCCTATACTTCACCATGCAAGCAGGAGACCGGAAGAGTTTTCACTGAGGAATGCAGCTAGACCAAGAAGGAAAACCTACAAAATTAAGTCACGACTCTATTAGTAAATAACTTAACCAGATCCTCCTACAGTGAAGCTTAGAGCTTCCACGTGGCTATTACCACCCCACTACTATATCACATTATACTCCTTAACTTTCATGACTATGATGGTTTTGAAAGTTTCAGGCCAGTTATTTTACAGAATGTTCTTCAACTTGGGCTTATCTTCATGTTTCATGAGGCTGTTCTTCTCTTTGCACCCTATCAGTGGCACATGCTTTCACTTTGTCCAATTACAGATCACATTCACTTTGATCTGCCAGGTTTCACCACTGAGAAACCTTTTTAAGTTGACTTAAAAAGTTTAAGCCAGCCAGGCATGGTGGCTCACGCCTGCAATCCCAGCACTTTGGGAGGCCAAGGCGGGCAGATGACCGGAGGTCAGGAGTTTGAGACCAGCCTGGCCAACATGGTGAAACCCCCATCTCTAATAAAAATACAAAAATTAGCCAGGTGTTGTGGTGCATGCCTGTAATCCCAGCTACTTGGGAGGCTGAGCGAGGAGAATCACTTGAACCCAGGAGGTGGAGGCTGCAGTGAGCCAAGATTGAGCCACTGCACTCCAGCCTGGGCGACAGAGTGAGACTCCATCTCAAAATAAATAAATAAATAAATAAATAAATAAATAAATAAATAAATAAATAAAGTTTAAGTCAGCTTAAACTTTTTCTCTTAGTAACGAATTATTACGCTGTGGAAAGGCACTTAGGAACTATGTAAATATCTTGTTTCACACCAAACTTTCAATTTATAATTTTATTTATTTTTATCAGAACAGGCTGAATTTATTGCTTTTTTATTTCAGTGCTCAAATTGCCCAGTTGGGACTGACAGAAGCCTCTTCAAGTTGGCTTCTGTGTCTTTTGACCTGTCCCCATTATTCTCTGAGCATTTATTTACTTTCTCACGCCACAGAATGTTCCATGCTTCTCTTATATTTTCCATCTGCCCTAGAATGAGCCATTTTATTTTAAAACAAAACTGGTTCCTTTCGATGAAAAATATTCTTTAGATCTAAGACCTCAACACTAGCTGTGCTTACTGTTATTGGAGAGTAGCTGCTTATAGGTCAGCTAGGGAATTTCAGACAGACACACACACACACACATACGTACACACACACATTCACACTCACTGTGGTAGACTAAATAAAGGTCCTCCCCCACAAAATGTCTACATTCTAATCTCTGGAACCTGTGAATGTCACCTTACATGGCATAGCCTTTGAAAATGTGATTAAATTAAATTTCTGGGCATGGGAGGGCTATCTTGGATTAGCCAAGTGAACCCTAAATGACATCACATGTATCCTTATAAGAGGGAAGAAAAGAAAGATTATGAGGCAGAAGAGAAGAAAGTCATGAGACAGAAGCATAGAAAAGTAGAGCCAGAGATAAGATACTACAACACTGGCTTTGAAGATGGAGGAAGGGGCTGTGAGCCAAGGAATGCAAGAAATGTAGCTCTAGAGTCTAGAAATGGCAAAGAAACAGATTATCCTCTGGCACCTTGATTTTAGCCCCTAAGACTCCTTTCCGACTTCTAGTCTCCAAAACTTGAAGAGAATAAATCTCTGTTGCTTTAAGCCACCAAGTTTGTGATACTTTCTTCCAGCAGCTATAGGAAACCAATACAGATAAACAGAAATATACACAAATACACACTTTATATCTACATTATCTCTACATCTACCTTATCTAATAAAAAACCATAAGTCAGCTGGGCGTGGTGGCTCACACCTGTAATCCCAGCACTTTGGGAGGCCCAGGTGGGCGGATTACTTGAGGTCAGGAGTTTGAGACCAGCCTGGTCAACATGGTGAAACCCCATCTCTACAAAAATACAAAAATTAGCCAGGTGCAGTGGTGCACACTTGTAATCCCAGCTCTCAGGAGGCTGAGACAGGAGAATCGCTTGAACCCGGGAAGTGGAGGCTGCCGTGAGCCGAGATCGCGCCATGCACTCCAGCCTGGGCGAAAGAGTGAGACTCCATCTCCAAAAAAAATTAATAAATAAGTTCACATTCATATTTTTCCATAAATGTATTTATGCTGCTTTCAAGTACAAATGAGTCATTAATGAGATAATCACAAGACTAACATGTAACTTGTTACTCCACCTGTACTGTTCCTTTTTAGCACAGATCATCCAAATACACTTTGCTCTCCCTCTATAATTAAGACTTTCCACTATAATTAAAAATTTTTTATTGCTGAAAAACAAAGAAAACTATCCATTCCCTCAGTTTATCTGGCAATAAAGAGGAAGATTCAAGTCCTAGCATGTGTAGCATTTTTTTCCTTTAAAAATATATTTGAGGCCAGGTGCGGTGGCTCATGCTGTAATCTCAATGGTTTGGGAGGTCAAACTGAGAGGATTGCCTGAGGCCAGGAGTTGGAGACTAGCCTGTGCAATACAGCCAGACCCCTGTCCAAAAAAATAAAAAATAAAAAAATCAGCCAGGCAGAGTGTCATGCACCCATAGTCCCTACTACTCAGGAGCGTGAGGGAGGAGAATCACTTGAGTCCAGAAGGTTGAGGCTGTAGTGAGCTATGATTGTGCCACTGCACTCCAGCCTGGGCATGGAACAACACCTTGTTTCAACAAATAATAACATTAAATAATAAAATAAATAAAATTTTCCAGGCACGGTGGCTCACGCCTGTAATCCTAGCATTTTGGGAGGCCGAGGTGGGTGGATCACCTGAGGTCAGGAGTTCAAGACAAGCCTGACCAATATGGTGAAACCCCATCTCTACTAAAAAAAAAATACAAAAGTTAGCTAGGTGCTGGGGGGAGTGCCGGTAATCCCAGATACTTGGGAGGTTGGGACAGGAGAATTGCTTGAACCTGGGAGACGAAGGTTGCAGTGAGCTGAGATTGTGCCACTGCACTCCAGCCTGCGCAACAGAGCAAGACTCCATCTCAAAAAATAAAAATAAATAAAATAAAATAAATAAAATATATTATAAAATAAAATTAAATAATAAAATATAAATATATATTTGACATACACCTGCACATAAACAAATGGGGAAGATGCTCGTGCTTGGGCCAAAGGGGATGGCTCACGTATGCCCTACAACCAGTCCCTCGTCCCCTCACAGACTAACTGGATAGATATTCCAAAAGTCAGTAACAACATCAAGTAAAAAAGTAAAACTGGGACAGAATGCCTCTCAAGAGTAGAGAGCTTCACGGACAAAACAGCCAGGAAACAAACCAGGTAGCTGAAAGGCCCCATCTTTAATTTGTGAAGGTTAGAAACAGCATGGAAACCAAAGGGCAAAGCAGGAAATGGACCACCAGCTTAGGGAGAAGACGTCGGCAAAAAGCAAGCCTCGGTCCTCACCCAGTCATCATGCAGCCCCGCTGCCAGCTTGTTTTTAATTGTGTGAGCACAAGACCAATAACTGAATTCATGGCCTTGTTAAAAGCCCCTGGAGGTCCATTCTCATTTTCCCACCAGCTGCTCTCTTCACTCTGTCCATTTCCAGTGTGAAAGACGCTCCCCTGGGACAAGGGGAAGCCGGGGTTCTGCTGCTCCTCCAGGCAAGGGGTCAGGGAGCGGCGGCCATATGGGGTGGCGGGGGGCCCAGAGCAGAGCCGCAGTGGCACGAGCTGGCTTCCATCGACACACATGTGAAGGCAGAGGAAAGGACAAGAAAGCATGCCTTTAACAGGTTCAAATGAATCTTCCTTTGGTAACCTTCATGTTGGACCCATTTTCGTTGTCTTTTAACCAGATGGGAAGATTCTATCCCCCTTCTAGGAACCGTGCCTGGCCTGGGCAAGGTTCTGAATTCATAATACCCGAGGGCTTCTTACCAATGGTGGTAGCTGCTTTATTTTTTTTGAAGTGTGACATAGAAAGCTGGGAGCTAGAAAGCTAGGACGGTACACATTCATTTGTAATAAAGCCTCCCATAAAACTAAAGTAGGATAGAGGGATCAAGTCTTCTTCACAACTCCTTCACTAACACAGCAGTAACTAAAGAGCTGGAGACCTTCAATGAAAGAATTTGAAGAAAATTAACAACCGACTATTATGAGTTCACAGCATATCCTCCGCCTTTGCCACCATCTCATAATCAGTAATGACAGACTGAGAAGACGGGCGGACTTGGACAGCAAACAATAAACCTAGTGATTCAAGACTTCATCTCGCCTTTTCCCCTACCTATTCCTGACCTTTTTTGCCTTCCTCAGGTTCTGGACCTGTGTGCTTCTGATAATGTTTAAAATTCACAAATGAAGCAGATAGTATAAATATTTGCATTTAAAAAATAAAAACATTGTTAAACCTTTGAACACATCTTACTGGCTACAGACTCTGGATTCTTAACAGGAGGATGGAGCTCTCCACGTTGGGAGAGCACTTGGGGATTTAAGTCGGGTCACATGAGGAAAAGCTGAAAACTACACAGAACTTTAAAAGTCAGCCCAGCATAATCAGGATCCCTATGAGGAAATCAACCAGACTGAATAAATAACATTCATAAATGCTCCTCTACTTCTTTCTCAAAAAAATGGAGGTGGGTCAGGTACTGAGAACAATCAAAACAAGTACTATGCAAAGCAGAGACTACAGGCTCACACGAAGTGTTCAATAAATATTTTTCCTGAATCCTTATAAACTAGGAAACCTCAAAAAAGCCTTGAAACCTTGGAAAAGGTTAGGAAGAAGTCCTACAAAGAAATTGCATAAGCATCAGCCTTAGTCACCTAAATCTGCTTTGCAAATATCATGGTATCTTTGGTCATTTCAGAAGTTCCAATAACTTCTGAAACAAAGTGAAATCCACTCTATATTTTTAAAAAACATAATTTGTCACTTTGACAAAGAGAAAAACAGGTGCTAAATGTGATTTTAAGGTGGGAATCATGAGAAGTAAGTGTCTTCTCACCTTAGTTTGCTATATCTCTAGTTCCCTTAACTTAAAAGTGACCTCTTGGTGGCAACTGTGTATTTAAGTGAAACATGTAATACCTAGAACTGCACCTTACAAATAAGACAGGCAAAAGATTGCTCTTGATTAAGATAAGAATATAGTTATACACGGTGAAACCCCGTCTCTACTAAAAATACAAAAAATTAGCCGGGCGTGGTGGCGGGCCCCTGTAGTCCCAGCTACTCGGGAGGCTGAGGCAGGAGAATGGCGTGAACCCAGGAGACAGAGCTTGCAGTGAGCCGAGATTGTGCCACTGCACTCCAGCCTGGGCTACAGATCGAGACTCTGTCTCAAAAAAAAAAAAAAAAAAAAAAAATATATATATATATATATATATATATATATATATTTATAGTTTTCTTCTCTTCCAAGGAGTTAAACCAGTGATCAAACAAATTAAATCAATGTTATTTTCTACTTACACAGTATTAATCATTTACCCAACCTACATGCATGCAGAAAAAAAATAATCTCCTAGGCAAATATAAACATTCTGAAACTCATGAAATCCATGTTGTGATTTACACTAAAATAACACACGAAATATTTAAAATAATATAATCATTGCATTAATTTCTGTAAGAAATACATGTCCCACTTAAATTTCATTAAAGGTAAATATCTCCAAGCAAATGATCATGAGCTTCATATCACAAAGAAAATCTGAAGTCAGGTCACTCAGTGGAAAGCTTTTGGTTCTGTGTATAGGACATAAATCGTGACCAGATCATACCAAGCATTTCATCCCTGGCTGTTAATAAATGAATATTATGAAGAACTGTCCATAAACTGAGCTCAGAGCATCTACAAAACACATGTCTGTAAGGACAAGGTAAAGAGGGGCACCAAAGAGAGCATAAGGTCCTGAAAATATAAATTTAGCAAAAAATTTCACATCAGTTCTCAGACGAATAACACTATCTCTCGTCTTGATAAATTTTTTCATCATATTTTAAATTTTAATTTAAAATGATATAGAAAAGTAAAATACATTATATGGGTGCTTAATACTCCTGTCAATTACCAGTAAAGTCATTCTTCAAAATGTCATGACAAGACAAGATGCATCAACTGCCTGACTTTCCACTGCGAAATTCTTACATCCCAGCTTCAGGGAGGTTCTGAGGGCAGTCAATAGGTGCCCAATAGCACCTATTTAAACTATAGCTTTGTCACGATACTCATACTACCTGCAATATGAAAAAGTTCCCATTATACCTTTTTAACTTTTATAAAGAAACAAACTATTTATTTGTAATGAATATTCAAAGACACAAACTATTCGTTGAAAGCCAAAAGGAATAAACTTCTCAGAAAGGAATTGTTTACAGAAGCATATTAAAAGTGGTTATTTTATTAGTTTTTTTGAGGAACTCTGTTACTTTTCCCTTAACACATCCATCACCTCAAATACTTTTTGTATTTTGTGGTAGCAACATTTGAAATTTACTCTCAGTGATTTTGAAATGTATAATACACCATTATTAAAATTATATTCAAGGTGCTCTGCAATAGAGCTCAAAAAAGAAACAAACAAGCAAAAAGAAACAACGTATTCCTCTTGTCCAACTGAGGCTTTGCACCCTCTGGCCATCATCTCCCGATTTCCCCTACCCCAGCCTCTGGTAACCACTATTCCGCTTTCTGTTTCTATCAGTTCAACTGTTTTAGAGCCCACATACAAGTGAGAACATGCAGTATTTGCCCTTTTATGCCCAGCTTATTTCCTTTTCACTTCATAACATCACTTTGTACCCCATAAATATATACAACTATAACTTATCAATTTATAATTCATATATTTATATATACATAATATAAAATTCCACGACCCATTTGGTCACTGACCTCTCGGGGAACATCAGGTTGTTCCCTGGTGCCTTGACAAGAGTTTATCGGCCTCACCCACACACGCAAGTGATCCAAGAACTGTCCTGTGTCATGCACTTGAGAAAGCCAACACAGGAGACACAGTATTTCTGTTGCTCTAGGGCCGAGCTGCAATGGGTTACCTGGGGTGCTTGTGGATAAACTGCTGATTGCTAGATTGAATCAGATTCTTAGGAATGGAGCTGCAGAACC